>NC_000004.12:155588047-155891077 GCF_000001405.40 Homo sapiens
TCTTCCAATGGGCATCTTTACTTCGAAGGCTTCCCATTGGCCTGGTTAAACATCCTTTGTGCCTGCGCTACAGTCGCCATTCTTTCTACCCAATACTCCTTCCTTCCCTCTCTCCTTCCACAGAGGTCAGACTCATGTCACAATTTGAAGGTTCTCTGTGCCTTCTCTTGCTCCCTTCACCAATAAATCTCTTATACACCTAATTCCATTTTGGTGTCTGCTTCTCAGTCAACCTAAGTGAACGCATCATCCAAACTTTCACAGCCCTCTCATTAGAAGTTTTTTTATTCATTAAGTATTTACTAAGCAGCTATCTGTTCCAGGCAGTGTCCTATTCACTGGAGATATAGATGTTGCACTAACAGAGAACATATACATTAGATATAGATTTTATGCTACCAAGGAAAATATACATTAAATTAATAATTATGAATGTAATGAAAAAGGAGTCCTATGGAAGCACAATTTGGGAGATCAAATAAATTCTAAAATTTGAAGATGGTCACCCACACTGAGAGAGTTTTAAGCATAGACTTGAAAGAGGTGTGGACATTAGCTATGTAAGCTGAAAAAAAGGAAAGAGCTTACTAAGCAAATTCTGAGGAAAGAAAGCTAATGGCTTATTCTTCCAGCTTATGGGAATCCAGTGTGAACTGAAAGAACCCCCAGTAAATTCAACATTATAAATAATTTCTGAAGAACGTATATATGAAGTTCTCCCTGGATTCACTTTTTTTCCCCGGTAAAGTATTTGGGATAAGTATCTTACTTTAACATCCTCCAACCCCATTTCAGTTCTAACTGCACATCCCATAAATGTACTATATCAGATCCCTGTAACTTACAACATAGCAGAATCATTCTAATTGTACAGAATATTGTAAAGAATATTGACTAATTATACAGACTATTGGCTAATGGTGCTATATCAAATAAGCCAGCGGCTCTCATGTTTTCCAGCAACTATTTTCCTTAAGAATAAGCTTTGCACTTTATTTCTAGAATCTTCTTCATCCTTGTTATGTGATTGTCTACAAAGATGTCTCTGACTTAAATCGAGCACTAATCTGAAACATTCTTAAGTACATTCCCCTTTTTTAAGCTGTTAAATCCTCTCTTATTGTCACTCACCTGGCTACTACTATTTTTGTAACAAACATTTGAAAGAGGGAATATTTTTGTTTAGAATGATATTTGCAGTATGCTTTCCTTTATCCTGTGCAAGAAAGCTTTCCTTTACCCTAGGAAAAAAAAATGCTGGTCTTGAAGTCAGAAATTGTCTTTCACATCTAGGGTTCTACCTCTTACTGACTATATGGATTCAGGCTACACCCATTTATGCATTACATATTTATTATTTGTTACATATCATCCATTGTGATAATTATTGGCAATACAAGTTGTTACAAGCAATATTCCTTTTTATCAAGAAACCCAGCCGTTAAACAATTTTCGCCTCATTTCCTCATTCAAAGAGGGTTATAATGGCATATTCAATCCAAGTTATTGACATATTTAACAATTATTTAATAAACATCTGTACATGTTTAACTTTAATAACTCATTTATGAAAGCATCTGACATTGGTAGGGGCTGAAAAAATATTTGTTTGCGAATCTGATGTGCTACCCTTTAGTAGGCTAATGACACAAAAATGGCATTTAAATTGGCAATAAATTAATCTTCTCAGGCTTAGTTTCCCCCAAAATAAGTTTTCTTTTGAAACCTAAGTTCCAAATGAAGCAGTCAATTGTCTGGTTGGATGGCCCATATAAGAGGACTAGCTGTAAAATTCAGGTCTAACATGAAGACTTTAAGTCATGTTTACCTAATTTCTCTATTTCCATTTCTTCTATTAGCAAGAATTTTCTAAAGGTCTTTTCAACTTCTGATACCTATTGGTGAAAGGGAAAGACTATACAGAAAAAGAACAATAATATTTATTAAAAACTTCCTATATGCCAGCCTCCAGGCAGAACCCTCTATATTATCTATCTATCTATCTGTCTATCTATCTATCTATCTATCTATCTATCTATCTATCTATCTGCATACACACACACAAACACGCGCACATATAAACCACACACATTCACATACCACGAATGTAAAAAATAATCTAAAAAATATTTGGGGAATTAAGAAAAGTGTTTTTTCATTTGAATTATACAGTTACTTGCCTCAGGTTGACTTTAACTTCTGTTTAGAAAAGACTTTTGAGTATATTCAATTCAGTATTATTTAAAATAGCACCAAAATGCATTCCCTTAAAAGCACTAGTTATCATGTTTTACTAAGCATAATAATAAATCCGTCATCTTAATCTGCCTTTTCTATTATTAATTATAATGCAGCTATTAGGTTAACAATGATATTGCTAAATAAGGTATGCTAATTGTACATCTAGGATAA
Organism: Homo sapiens; assembly: GCF_000001405.40. NCBI lineage: Eukaryota > Metazoa > Chordata > Mammalia > Primates > Hominidae > Homo > Homo sapiens. The sequence goes on from NC_000004.12 coordinate 155,590,460, forward strand.
AAGTTTAAGAAAAATTTTATCTTTGTTCAAGAAAATTACTGAGGGATAAATATAGTGTAATGATATCTGGCAATACCTTTCAGAGAACATCAAAGGAACTGTTTTTAAATAGAAACAGGACACTAAGGACATATTACCAAAAAATTTAGCATATTATAAAATGTAAATAAAGTGTAAAATAACATTATAAAGTACGTAGAATTTTGAATAATAAAATAAATTAAGATGGGATTTCAAGTGGTCATTTGGTTTAGAATTCTGGCATATTTCAATTTCAATTATAGTCCATAAATTATGAAAAAAATTTAAACACTTAAAACACATCAGAGAGAGATACAAAGGTAGTTGCAGCTTGAAGCAATATCACTTTAAGCAGTCTCTCTTGTTTAGATTTCCTCTACTCTTAGTCCATTTTCTGCTGCTGTAATAGACTACTACAGACTGGGTAATTTATAAAGAACAGAAGTTTATTTGGCTCATGGTTATGTAGGCTGAGAAGTCCAAGAGCATGGCGCCAGGTCATCCCATGATGAAAGGTATCACATGGCAAGACAGCAAATGGAAGCCAAATGTTTCCCTTTACCAGAAATCTATTGCCACAATAACCAGCCATTAATTCATTCATGGGGGCAGAGCTCTTAAGACCTAATCACCTCTTAAGGGCCCCACCTCCCCAAACCATCACACTGGCCATTAAATTTCAGCATGAGTTTTACAGGGGACATTCAAACTATGCTCTTATAGCAAACGTATAAACTGAAAACATTTATTTGGATAATTGCTATCATTTGGACATCAATTTGTTTGCAAAATGTCATTAACTTGGATCTAAATCAGGAGTCAGTAGGCAAACTATCTAAAAGGCCAGTTAACAGGTTTTCCTTGCCAGAGGATTTCTGTCACAACTACTCAATTGTGCTGTTGTAGAGAAAAAGCAGTCTTAGACAATATGCAAGCAAATGGGTGTGGCTGTGATCCAATAAAAGTTTGATCACAAAAAAGAAAGAAAAAAAAGTGGCCAGCTACATTTGGCCCAGGCAATAGTTTGCTGACTACTCGTCTAAACAGCAAGTAGTATATATTAAAGGCTTACAGCTAATTATTTAGTGTTAGTCTTCCTTTCTCAGTAGAAATACATGTGTTTGAGGTATTTTTAGGTTTGGGGCTTTTTAAATGAATGTTTTAAAAAGTTGGATGTCCTTGTTTTTATCTACAGTCCTTCAAATTAGCAAATATTTATTCGTCATTTACCCTAGGCTGGCTACCATTCTAGGTGTTGATGTATCTCAGTGAACAACAGTCAAAGACTTTTGCCTCATGCTTATATCCCAGTGGAGGAGAGATTAATAATAAAAGTAAACATCATATAAATAAATTATAGAGTATGTTAGATGATGATACATGCTTTGGAAACAGAATCAAAGTAGAAGAGGGTAATGAGGATAAGAGGCGGATGGAAGATGGATGGCAATGTGCTTTATGAAATCAGGCTGTTAGGGCAGACTTTGTGGTGAAGCTGAATTTAAGCCGACTGGAAGGAGATAGAGGAGTTAGCCATGCGCATATCTTGGAAGAGCGTCCAGGCGGAGGAAAGGCTGGATCCAAGACCTGTGCCTATGTGAGCTGTGAACAGATAGAGAGACAATGTGACTGGAGAGGAGTGAGCGGTAAGCAAGGACAGGCAGAGGACAGTCAGAAGGATTGGGTCAGAGAGACCAGAGGTGGGAGCAGGACCTTGAGAGCCATTGTAAAGACTTCACTTTTGCCCCAAAATATATGAGGGACTCCTGCAAGATTTTAAGCAGAAGGGTGACTTTAGCTGGTTTATATCATCAGAGAGACTGCTTCACTTTTATGGCTTTAGACCCTAAAATGGAAGTTAAATATGGTGGTATCTCAAAGTGATTGTGGCTAGCAGTGTCACTGGAGGTGGAGAAACCAGGTTTTGTAACACATTCAGGGTACGTGTATTCTACTCTTTGTATTGAAGAAATTCATACTAGTTTCTTTTTTTTTTTTTTTTCAGAAATAAAATTCTCCATTTCCCAGAGACCTCTAGAAAAGAACTCTCTACCTCTTCATGGGAATATACTTTTGCTGCAAGAAAATAAAATGTTTTCTCTTTATCTCTTCATGGCAGACCTAAGTGTGAGAAAAAGGTTGCTGGTGATTTACCACACCACAGCCTGAGTACACCCAGGCACGCATCTTTAAAACATGCCCAAAGATATCTCTGTGAAATGTATTCAGTAGTGGATTCCAGTATTCACAGCCTTCATTTACACAGTTCACTTTATTTAATTTGTACTTACTGGTAATATTAAGTAATCAGAGTTCATATCCTTGGGAAAATTCTCCCCTGAAGGCCAATTCATTCGTAATAAAAACCACATTTTGAGCAGTGAGTGAATCCAGCTGGTTGCACTAGTAAGCCATTTTCATTTTTTATAGCACATTTCAGCTTTCCAAGTATTGCATATTTGTATGGGAGAAATGTTTTCTGAAGTCAAGCTTAATGAAACATGAAGTCAATGATATATGCAAACATCTATTTATTCCTCTGCTGTCTGGGAAGTTTTGATCAAGAAAACACTTCTGCTCATTAGAGAATTGACCAGATGCAGTGCTATTAACATTTCTGTGATCAAATAAAGCTCACCCAGATGAAAGAAGAATTGCAACACTAACAGCCTGGAAGCACTCAACCGTGGAGATATTACCCCCAAAAGTGAAGCATGCTAAGATACAAAACAAACTGACTTCAAGCACATCTGATTAACATGGCCATTGTTAACTTTCCCACTACTTGGGCAGACTTTAAACCTGCTTATGGATAAACAGTCATATGATGCTGGTATAAGAACCTTCATTTTATATCAGTGTAATTCCTCTAATGCACATGTTCTTCATGTTTTATAGAAAATCTGCAATTTGATTATTTTTGTTTACTCCCTCAGTACATGTACCCTGAGACAAAACTAAACTGATTCCATATATAGAATCTTCAAAAACAAATTTTGTTAAAGATGTGTTTTTGTTAGAAGTTTTAGCAAAACTGTGTTAAGTTAGAAAGACACAAGTAATTTATAACTTCATGGCCAATTTAATGTCACTTCTTTCCCCAGTCTTCTCTCCTCCATATTTGTCTACATTCTTACTATCATTTTCTGCTTATTCTTTGCTCATTACTATATTTGATAATACCAACAATAAGGCATTTTAAAAGTTTGTTGCTGATTTGACTAAGAACATCTCAGTAATCCAACTGAACTGTACTTCACTGTGTGATTTTAGAATGCTTTTCACTAAGTTTAGCAAAAAGCTTCAGAGAATTGTTAGGATCCTTTTGAAGTAGTTTTTTTTTTTTCTTTTGTTAGTAATACGTACCATCAAACACACACGTTCTTGTGTGCTACTTATCAGACCACTCAGATGAGTGCGCGAGATGGTTCGTTCATTGTGGCCGGCCTCCTCTCTCCCTGCTCATGTACCCAACCAAATGCTCATTGTCCTCACACTGCATGTGTATTCAGTCGACTCCCAGCAGGAAATCGACAACACCCTCAAGATAGCTGAGGAGCAAGCGGAAAATAAGGACTATTTAAAAGATGCGGACGGGGCTTAGAGAAAGCAACAGGGATGAGTGCTCCAGCCTAGGGATCCTAACAGTGGAGCTATCACTATTCTTACCGTTGAAGGCGAAGGAGAGGGGGATCTTACTGAGATCCACAGAGACAGAGACAGAGACACCTGTCCAGGGAAGGAAGACCTCTTCATGGGAGTTGTGTACTTTGGTTGAGGGATGCAACCCCCCTATGACAACCTCTAAGAGAGGGAGCCAATGAAATAAATACCACAACTTCATGCTCCTCCATCCCTCTGATCTCTTCTCAGTTTCCCTCATTTGCTGAATCCAACCAGAAGTCAGAGGGCAAGGCAGCCTTTTGATGCATTCCTCACAGGCCAAGCTCCCAGGACACAGAACAAATTGGAGAGGATAGAGAAAGGATCTCAAAAGGCAAAGGGAACTGGGCACAATGGTACACACCTGTAGTTCCAGCACTTTGAGAGGGAGAGGTGGGAGGATCACTAGAGACAAGAAGTTTGAAACCAACCTGGGCAACATAGCAAGACCCTGTCTCTACCAAAAAATGTAAAAATTAGCTGGCCATGGTGGTACATGCCTGTAGTCCTAGCTACTAGGAACACTGAGACACGAGGATAACTTGAGCACAGGAGTTTGAGGCTTACAGTGAGCTATGATTACACCACTGCACCACAGTCTGTATGACAGAGCGAGACCCTGTCTCAAAATAAATGAGAGATAAATGGGGGATTTTCAGCACAAATTCCAAATAAAGTTCACTGTTCACTTGGATAGTGAACAGAAATATTCAGGTAAGCTGTGTGATTAGAAGGGGTTCTTTCTGAAATTCTTGCAGTTGCTGAATCTGCTTATGCTCCCTTAAAGGTCTCTTGAGGATTATATAAGAATCACAATATGTGTTATCAATTTCAGTCACCAGCCCTTCCAATACATCTGTGATAAGCATGCTGTTGCTAATGTATTGTTTTTTATTTTAAGTGACTAGTTGGCACCTAGCCTTAAGTTAGTGGAACTACTTAGGCATTGACAGAGGTTCAAAACATGAGCTTGAAGGAAATCAGTTTAAGGACATTTTAGATGGCTATTGGCACTATTCAAACTTTACCCTCTTCAACAAAAGAATAGACTTCACAATGTCATTAAGTTTTAAAATCACTTTGAGGTTTTTTTTATTAATTCTTTTTGTAAAATCCCTAGTTCACACTCCCTAAAAATTAAGCTGTTCAAGGAAGCCTCCAATAATGTCAAGCCATTCTATAGATCACCAGAGATGAGCCAAGTCTCTGTACCAAATATCTATGGGGTGTCATTCTAGGCCAGATAATTTTCTAGACATAGAGGTACCCATTGTTCTAAGAAACCAAAGTCTGTTCCAAGAGTCACAAACACTTGAGTTATAGGCAGGTGTTTGGTTAGATGACACATGCTTTTGTTTTTAATTAAATTAATATCTTCAGGTGTGTTATGTGCTCTCAACTTCAATGTAGTGTGTTACCTGGCTGCATCTTCTGGAATTTGAGTTTATGACCCCTGGTCTATTCTCAGAAGACAAAGCTCTGATCTTGTGTAAAAGTACAGAAAAGAAGAAAAGCATTCTGATCAATCACTCTTTTTCTGCCCTAAATTTTAATATAGAGCAATCTAATCTGGGCTCCATTATAAAATGTCAGCTATAAGGACTAACATAATTTAACTGATTTTTTTATGATGTTAGACTTTTAGGGATTTTTTTCATTTTATTATGTTATAGAGCACAGCTAACTATATGTTCAATGACAACAGTGTGAGTTATTCTAAATGGCACACTAGATCCCCCATTCTTAATTGAATAGCCTAAGGTAGATTTAGTTCATCTTATCTAATCAAGATTCCTGAGGTTCCAAAGGAAATATTCATTCTTATTTTGGCTCACATAGAATAACACAAGATCTCTAGGGTAAAACACAATTTTCATTGGAATTGTTTACCCTTTGAGAGAGTAAATTGTCAGAATTTTCTTGGCTTTTTCAGGCTGCAGCTGTATATCTTATTCTGATTGTATTTTCAAAGTACTTTTCTCTTTTCAATTGCTCTACAAGTGCTTGGAGACTCCCTGGCATTCTCAGATTCTCAACACAACTCCTCAACTCAGGGAGAACACAAGTCTCTTTCAATCCTCTTCCTGGGTTTTCCCTCCAGTCAGTAAACTGAAACCATCATAGAGTTTACCAGGTTTATTTTCCCTCTTTTAGGGATCCTCCCTTGTGCTGTCTCATGTCAATCTTTGAACACCATTATTTCATATATGGTTTTCAGTTGGTTGGTGGTATCTGGAGGGAGAGTAAATCTGGACCATCTTCAACTTGACTAGATCCAAGTATGCTTTCTTTGTGTGTGATTTTAAAACATCAAAGTAATCGCTATCTTATCTTTAAATCACACCAATAGGATGTTTAAGGGGAGCGTAATTATGTTCACATAAAATCTTTGAGGAAATTGATAGTTACTTGTAACTACTTCACTCCTTTATTGGACATGACAGCATTAGAATCAAGTCCCTCTCAAAGGAGAAGAGAGAGATAGGTGGAGGGGGCACTGCATCCAACCATAATTTTTCTCTAAACAATTATGTCAAAAAAGGACATTTTTACCTTGAAACATAAGTAGTTCGAGGTTTTAAAAAATTACTTCTATATAAGGTTATTATGCATAACCTTTTCCCTAATCCTTTTGTTAAATTATTTCTTCAGAACACTGTTCCCATTTTCTTTTCACATAAAAGATTAAATTGTTTTAATCTAGAGCTAAAAATTTCCAAATGAGTTGAAGATATATAAATATAGATTTGACAGTATATTATTAATGTCACCTTATCAAACACACCCTTCAGTGTGAACTTTCTGTAGCAGATTTTTGGTGCATAAATTTACTGCTTGGGTGAACATACAAATATCAGACAAAATTTCCAAGGTCAATTTTAAAGGAGGAATTGAAAAGCAAGTCACAAAAAACATATTCTCAGTAATGTTTCAGGAAAAGCAATGTGACTTTTCAAGATAATTTTAAATAGTTTTTATCATAAATATACATCTTAATTGTTAAAAGTTTTAAAATACAAATAAAAAGGGAGAATAAAAGTAAAATACCCTGAATTTCAGAATCAGAAAAAAAAAAACACTATTGACATTTTGATATATTTCCTTCCAGTCTTCATTTTTCTTTATTCATATAGGTGTTGATTTAATATGTTTATTTTTATTGTAAAATAATGGAATTAAATTGTATGTTTTGTAAACTTGCTTTTTAAAAATGTTTATATCAGCTCATAGGCTTCTAATAGCTTCAGTTCTCTTTTCCTGTTCTAATATTTACATTATGCTTGCAGAAACTTCTCTTCTGTTTAAAAGCCAGATGTTTATCACTTGTACCTGTTACAAAACCTGACATGGAAAGGAGCAAATTGCAAGTTTAGTAAATAGAGAAGTAGTTGTTATTTTAGAAGAAAAAACGAGACCAGTATCCAAAATTTTAGTCTGTGCACTAAATAAAATATTCAAGGTAACACTCAACTTTATTAATCAACTATTTGTTGAACCAATATTTTCCTTTAGGGTGGACAATTTTTCTAAAGCTATGTTTTAGGAACTTCCCTTGTATAATTTTTGTTTAATAAAAGACTGGTAGAAATAAGTTAGGCATGCTAAGCCTCTAAGACATGTCAGGCTAGCACATAATAAATAGCCCACCTCTTCCACTTCTCCCACGGTCGGTATTAAAAGGGAGGTTTTAAGCTAGGAGGGTGGCATCGAGATGGCACCAACAGCTCATGAGAACCCTCAAGTATTCAAACCCTACATGAATGAAGAAAACTCCTATTACTCAGTAATATGTAAAAGAAGACAGTATTAACAACATGCTTCTCAGCACGGATGGGAAAAAGGATATTTCTAATAAGTAGGGATATGCATTCTTTGCATCTGTGTTTCCCAGTCAGCCTGATCGAATCAATCACCTAGGGAATTTTTTAAACACCCAGATCCCTCATCTCAACCCCAGAACTACTAAATCAAATGTTTCAGGAAAGAATCTATTTTTTTAATCCCCACTCCCCAGGCAATTCTAATGATGTGGTTAGCTTGGGGGAAAAAACACTTTATATGAATAAAATATTTTCAAGTATTAAACTGCAGCAAATAATGTGGTTCCAAAATGATACTGAGTGCATTCATCTCTGCTGATTCACAAAAAGTGCTTTACAGTCTTGCTGGATCTTAAGAGCAGCATTAAGAACACACATTATGGAAACTGTTGAAACGATAAATTTTGATATGTGTTTTTTTAACCAAATAATAAAGAATATACATTATGATGGGATTGTAAGGAATATTGTTCTGTTTAACAGATAATGATTTTTTATAGAAATTTCATGGGTATCATTGCTATTCAGGTCATTTTAGGATGTTCTACAACATTCACATTTGACTTAGGCTGATTAGCAAAGCACAGTTGTTACCAAACTTTAAGTGATCCTATATAAATGTATTTGCAGCAATGATGTGAATCACGCATTTTGATTCATCGCCACATTAATTAGTAATATTTCTTATAAAATAACTCTTTACTTTCCTGCTAGCCAGGGCTAATAAGTAGGGCTAAATGCCTACTTATTCCCTACATAAACATAAACCTCTTTTTTTTTCTGAGATGGAGTCTCGCTCTGTCACGAGGGCTGGAGTGCAATGGCATGATCTCAGCTCACTGCAACTTCTGCCTCCCAAGGCAGAATTGGTTCCAGCAACTCTCCTGCCTCAGCCTCCCAAGTAACTGGGATTACAGCACATCACCACACCCAGCTAATTTGTTTTTTTTCATTTTAGTAGAGACGAGGTTTCACCATTTTGCCCAGACTGGTCTCGAACTCCTGAGCTCAGGCAATCCACCCGCCTCGGCCTTCCAAAGTGCTAGGATTACAGGCGTGAGCCACTGCGCTGGTCAGTACATAAACTTTTTAAGTACTATAGTCAGATTTACCACGGGAAGGGGACAGTGGGAGACAAATGCAAATAGGATCTACTGCTCCATTTAAGAAAAAGATACAGATATATTTGCTGTGATGGGTCAGCTGAGTGAGACAGATGCCCTCACAATAATGAGCAAGCTTATCAAAAACCAGAACTTAAGGAAAACGTTCTCTCTTCTTAGAAATATGTCTTCTTCTAAGTTTCCAAGTCGTGGTTTGGGAATAGTTTGCGCCGACAGCCATAAATCTTGACCAGCTTGTTGCTATTTGCCCTGGTTACTAACAATTCAAGCAAATCTAGTAATCACTGATCGCAACTCACCACTTTTCCTGGTTTTGTTTTTTGGGGTTTTGTTTGTTTGTTTGTTTTTTACCTTATGGTAGCCTTACCCAGTCCTCCATTTCAGTCCTTACGTAAGACTGCTTTTTATTCCAAATCCTTTAATACTATAATTGTATGTCAATATATGAGATAGTGTTAATATAAACTTAGCATCTATTAAAATTTGCTTCTGTTCAGCTTTAAAAGTGCATACTACCTTTTACCTCATAATACAAATGGAGAAGAACACATTCTGTGAAGCTGATTTTTCTTCCACTAGAAAAGTCAGATTATGGAGAATGGCATCAGCAAGGTAGCAGGGCATAGTGCAGACCACACAGCAACAAATGAGATGCCAAATTTGGGGCCACATGTTTTGAGCAAATGTGCCTTCAGCTTTCCTTCCTTTAATCAGTAAACTGACTAAAAGCAAGCTGCATACATTTCCCTGGAGATAAGGTACATGCTTTGAAACACTGCAAAAGAACAAGGAAGACAGATTTATTATATGCCATTTCTTTCAGTCTGGCATGCAGATGATAAGATTCCTCTGTTTTCATTAATTATAAAACAACAGTCCTGCTCTTAGTTTGGGAACACAAACAGTCAAAATTTTATTTCCATGAACCCTAACTCATATCTATTCCTTAACTAGCTAATTTTTATTATTTTCTCCTTTTTAAAAATTGATTCATTAGGTATAATAGCATCAATGACCTCAGTAACTAGTTATATGTATACTACATTGGTATATGGTATGTTGGTACATAGCATATATATTGGAACATGGTACATTCTCTTTCATTACTTTGAGGCTATGTATTAAATTGTGCTAAATTTTTCAGGGAGTTTTTATTTTGTTAATTCTAAGACTTAAACCCTAATGCGTTATCATGATGGATATCTTTTCTATGGGAGAAGGACTGGACTGGCATCTAAATCATTATCTCTGCAAAAACTATTCTGTGATAAGATGCATCATAAATCACTCTGATGAGTAACTCACAAAACCCAAATGAAACTAACCACATTATTGAGGCAGATCAGTTTTTGGTGTGCCTTATATTTATGGTACGGGTGGATTGTGGGCAAGGGAGGCCTGAGTAACAGGAGAGATGATGGGAGGACTACTGGGTATGAGTCCACTTCAGTAGAGGCTTGCCAAACGCTATCTCATTTACTAAAGAAAGATAATTTTGACAGATAGATACGATCATTCCCATTTTACAGATGAAGTTACGGAGGCTAAGCCATGTCGAAGGATTTTTAGCAATTCATATGAGTTCTACATAGAAGAGCAGGGACTAGAACAGAAATCTGTCTGCAAAACATTTACTCAGTTTACTAGATCACCCTCAACAAAGCTCTCTTTTTATTATCGTCACAATTATTAATATATAATATTTCCTCTCAGTCTACATTATGAAACAGTGTCATTACCATTCTACTCTTAAAATCTACATTCATTGATTACTTTAATTGTGAGAGCAACTCATCCTATTACATCATCAGTTAACAAAACTACAAATAGAACTTGGGTTTAAAATTCTTAGTGATAAGGAGCTCCAGTAGTGCAATTGGTTAGCACACAGTACTTATATGAAATTCTCAGTAATACAAGTTGATATTGCCTGTCATGTTTTAAATTAAAATATGATATATTCATTTCTATGTTCGAAACCTGCATTGCTACCTAATGAACATTCCTATTGAGTGGTATGTTAAAATTACATTATTTTGAACTTTGTCACTTACCTTGGAGTTTGTTTTGTGATTTATTTCTGTTGATTTTATGTGGTGTCCTTTGACCAAAAGCATCCTGCATGGGAAAAAAATAGACTAACTCTGTTTCTTTTTTTCTTTTTAATTTCCATAAGTTTTCGGGGAACACGTGGGGATTGGTTACACGAATAAGTTCCTTAAGTGGTGATTTCTGACATTTGGGTGCATCCATCACCTGAGCAGTATACACTGTACCCAATTTGTAGTCTTTTATCCCTCACCCTCCTCCCACCCTTTCCCACAGAGTCCCCAAAGTCCGTCATATCATTCTATGTCTTTAGATCCACAGAGCTTAGCTCTCACTTATGAGTGAGAACATATGATGTTTGGTTTTTCATTCCTGAGTTACTTCACTTAGAATAATGGTCTCCATTTCCATCTAGGTTGCTGCAAATGCCATTATTTCATTCCTTTTATGGCTGAGTAGTATTCCATAGTGTGTGTGTGTGTGTGTGTGTGTGTGTGTGTGTGTGTGTATGTGTGTGTGTATATATACCACAATTGATTTATCTACTTGTTGATTGATGGGCATTTGTACTGGTTTTATATTTTTGCAATTGCGAATTGTGCCGCTATAAACATGCTTGTGTAAGTATCTTTTTCTTTCTTTTTTGTACAATGACTTCTTTTCCTCTCGGTAAATATCCAGTGGTGGGATTGCTGGATCAAATGGTAGTTCTACTTTTAGTTCTTTAAGGAATCTCCACACTATTTTCCACAGTGATTGTATTAGTTTACATTCCCACCAGCAGTGTAAAAGTGTTCCCTTTTCACCACATCCCCACCAACATCTATTATTTTTTTGATTATGGCCCTTCTTGCAGGAATAAGGTGGTATCGCATTGTGGTTTTTTGTTGTTGTTGTTTTTTGAGACAAAGTCTCACTCTGTCACCCAGGCTAGAGTACAGTGGCACGATCTCAGCTCACTGCAGCCTCTGCCTCCTGGGTTCTTCTTAAACTAACTCTCCTCATATAAAAGGCACTAGGTTACACGTTCGATTTAAGTCTTTTGAAAAATCGGTTCCAGCAGTGTATCATGGTATTAGAATACTAAGCATTATTTCTAGAGATATTGCTGGTGACTTTTCCTCCAGATTTAAAGGAGCGATCTCAACCCCTGCCTCAACTCACAGCTCCTTGAAGTGCTGGAGAAGACAATCTCAACCACATCTGTCCTGGCCCACCATACCTCTGGCCTATAAGAGACTATTATCTGGCCTCCAACCACTTATCCCTGCTAGTCTGCCCTCTGTAATTATGCCTCAGTCTGATCATTGTCCTTATTGTTCTCCAACCTGCCAGCTTCCTTCTTGCCTTAGGGCCTTGCTGCTCTCTCTGCCTCTGATGTTCTTCCCCAGATCCTAGTAGAGCAGTTATCCAGCCTAAGGAATGCCACCAGTACTTTGTATTACATTGATTGAAACCAGCTCTTCCAGATTTGAGAGTTCACAGACAGTCAAGATTTCAAAAGCTACAGAAACCTTTGAGTGTCAGGCTGAAAGAATGACAGACTTGAGGCCAGGACAGATGAGAACATTTCTTTCTTGTGAGTTATCAATCAAGTATTAATTGCCCTGTCCTTTCCCATCATCGTAACTGACTTTTAAAAAAATCGTTTACAGTAATTTTTCACAAGAGAATTCCCATAGAGGTAGCAAAAAGTCATAATAATGTCACATAATGTAAGAAATAGAAGACATTATCTAGGCTAAAGACCTCACTTTCAGGTCCCTGTGCACAGGCCTTTCCTGTGAGAGCGGTGGAGACAGGCTCTGATGCAAATTCTGTTTCTCCTGTGGAGATCTGTTATCTAGAACACCCACCCAAAGCCCATCAGAACCTACTTGCCCTTGTCAGGACAACAAGGGGAAAGGGAGAAACTAAAACCCTCATAACCATCTAAAACTGTAGATTATACACATGACACAGAGAGCAAAAGAGAGTATGAGAAATATAAAGAAATCCTGCTCTTCCAGATTTGAGAGTTCATAGACAGTTAAGATTCCAAGAGTTACAGAGACCACTGAGCGTCAGGCTGAAAGCAGAATGAAAGGCTTGAGGCCAGGACAGATGAGAAGGATTCTTTCTTGAGAGTTATCGACCAAGTATTAATTTTTATCAATAGAGTTAACGGATCGTGGAAGAAAAGATATTTCCAAAAGAATATTATGTTTACAGAAGTATATCATGTATCATAATCACATCTGTAGCTTCAACTTTTTATGAAAATAAAAATGAAACTCAGAACTGGTACATGTGGTATAAGTGGGCATGCTGCATCCTGTCAGCCAATACTTGTTTGGTTAAAGGAAGCTAAATTGGAATCGCTGGACCAGATTCCATTTTCCCTTTGCTTCTGCCCGTGGGCTTTCCTCAGTTGATGGTGATTAGGCCTGACGTGAACAGCTCATAAGAGGGGATGTGGGTGATTCAACAGGGGCAGCTAAGGCAGAAGTGTCCAGGTCCCTGCTCAGAGCCAAAGATCCCACACTGGAGACAGGGCTAGGAATGAAAGAACTCTTTGTTCTCACGCACCAGTGTGTGGGGCAGGGGGACGGGAAAGGTAGTAGACTTACCATTCTCAAGTGCTTGTGTTACTGCGTGGTTGTATTAGGTGCTTTGAGAGTTCTCTCTCATTTATCTTCACAATAACTCTAAGTGGAAAATCAAGCTCAGAGGTCCTAAGTCTCATGCCCCAAATTCCACAGCATAGAAATGATAGACCTGGTATTCAAACCTACTGGTGTCTGGCTCTTGTCCTTTCCTTTTCTATTTTTTTTTTTTTTTTTTTTTGAGACAGAGTTTTGCTCTTTTGCCCAGGCTGGAGCGAAGTGGAGCGATCTCGGCTCACTGCAACCTCTGCCCCCCGGGTTCAAGTAATTCTCCTGCCTCAGCCTCTCGAGTAGCTGGGATTACAGGTGCGTGCCACCACACCCGGCTAATTTTTGTATTTTTAGTAAAGACGGGGTTTCACCATCTTGGCCAGGCTGGTCCTGAACTCCTGACCTCACCTGCCTTGGCTTCCCAAAGTGCTAGGATTACAGGCATGAGCCACTGTGCCCAGCCGCTTTTGCCCTTTTCTTACTCATTACTGTCCCTGAAGGACAGGACAAGGAATGCACACGGACAGTTTTTGCATCTTCAATGCCAATTATAACATGGTCTCAATAAATAGTTATTAGAGGAGTGAAAGAAGGAAGAAAGGATTCAAGGAAGAAAGGAGGGAGGAACAAGGATACTTAGTGAAGAAAATACAGAAGATAGCAGAAAAACCATCAGGGCATCCTTAACCAAAGGTAGAACCATGCAAGAGTCCGATCAAATTATATTTGTTTTTCTCATGATGAAGACCTTCTCATTCTTTGCCTTAGCTCAGCAAATTTTTGTTGTTGTCTATATCATTTATTTCATTACAAATTGCAATTTGATGATTTTCTAGTTACCACATTTCTTTTATATGTATTAGCTGGAATGCTTCTGAAAAAAAAATCTTTGTATTATCAACTAATACTTTTGGTTACCTTGAAAATCTTTTTGGAAGTGAAAAGCATAAAAAGTTTAGAATGATCATGCTTTCAAGGTGATTGGGATCAGAAAAATGTTTTATTCTTGATCTTTGGAGCAAGCATAACCACCATCACTTCAAGTACACTGGCCACGACCCAACAGTTACTCCACGTCTCTGACTAAGACTTCAGGATTCTTAGAACAAAAACCACAGAAACTTGGGCATTTTCCTAAATATGTCTTAGGTTTTGAGCCATTGCCAGACATGTTAAATTATTTAATGTAATTCATAGAGAGTATATAATTATGAACTTGGCAAAGCTAGAAGAGATAAGTAAACAGAGAGAGTTTTTAATATAATATACTCTCTGATAGTGAGCTATCTCACATTCTGCAATATATTTATAGAGAGGAGCGCCACACCTTCATAACTACATAGCAGGACACATGTACCCTGGTCAGGCAGTTTCTCCTTCTCAGTCTAACCTTGCATGTCACAAATTGAAGCTAACAATTTCATATGATTCCTCCATCTCATCTCTACCCTCAGCCCCAAAGGAGTCTCCCATGTTCCCAAGACAGGAATTGGAATATCTAGATAATAGGGGAGGCCCATTGAAGAGTTATTTCAGACAGATTTCCTGTCAGGCACTGGATTTGCTCACATGCCTGGTCAGATTATTTTCCTTAATCAGTGTTTTCAATTTGTGGGAAAAGAAAACCAGTGTCAGCAAATTGCCAATGGAGATGTTCTTTTGAATTACTTACTAAGGATCGTTTGATTAGAGCAGAAGCAATGGACCCTGTGAAATATATGTTCTGGAAACCAATTTTGTTGTGGAGACTTTTTCCAGTTGAGTTGCTGTTTGTGTGTAGATAGTTCTTACTGGAACACAACCAAAATATTTTTAACACCCTGTTAATTCTAAGACAACACTTCTCAATGTTGCATATATAAAGATTTGGTGGAATATGTACTCTTAAACCTGTAGAAACATATCTATGACTTTTTCCTTTTACATTTTCTCTTGAAACTCTTATAGTTTAAAAATGCCAACATAAATGATTTCTATGTATATATATATCCATTAAAATAATTATGTACTTGTAACTTATTTTTTCTAAATATCTGCTTTCAACAGAGAACAAACTAACTTCATTTACTTTTTTCCCTGATCTTTTATAACATAAACCATTACTTGAATTAATTAAAATAATGGCTATATTCTATTATAGGTATTAAAAAGAAGTTTTTTTGGGTATGAAATATTTTGAGATTTGTTATTTAAATTATGATCTATTCATAGGATGGGATAGTATCCAACCATTGATAATGATAATAATAATAGCTCATAAATATAGTGCTTACTTTGTGCCAGATGTAATACATGCTTTACATATAGTAACTTATTTACTTATCACAGCAACCTTTTGAATTGAGAAAACTGAGGTACAGAAAGGATAAGGGACTTGCGTAATGTCACACAATAGGTAAATCACACATTGGGACCTAAATCCAGGTAGTTCGGCTCCAAAGTCCGGGGGTAAAACACTTCATCATGTTGCTTCCCATTTGAAATCACATTGCAGATAAATGAGGACCCCTATAAATATGTTTACAATCTACTGTTAAGGGAACAAAGCAGTATTGGACCAATTGTATTACATACACTGATATGTGTGTATCAGTTGTGATATATACATCTACATATGTATATATATTTTGGATATATGTATGTATACGTGTATACACACACATAAATACAAACACATAGATACACACAGAAAGAAAATTGGAAGGTTATATTATACACTAAAAGTTTTACAGAAGTAAGCTATTGGTAATGAGATTACCAGTGATTTTTTTTAGGATGCTTCATATTTTCCAAATATTTATCATAACAATGTTACTATTTTCATAATTTTTAAAGTGCTAGTTATTTATTTATTTATTTGAGGTGGAGTTTTGCTTTGTCCAGGCTGGAGTGCAGTGGCATGATCTCAGCTCACTGCAACCTCTGCCTTCCGGGTTCATGCGATTCTTCTGCCTCAGACTCCCAAGCAGCTGGGACTACAGGCGCACGCCACCACGCCCAGCTAATTTTTGTATTTTTAGTACAGACGAGGTTTCACCGTATTGGCCAGGCTGGTCTCAAACTCCTGACCTCGTGATCCAACTGCCTCGGCCTCCCAAAGTGCTGGGATTACAGGCATGAGCCACCGCGCCCAGGCTAAAGTGCTGTTTAAAACTATAATCTTCCATGAAAGGACTACATACTCTTTTGCTGGTACTTTAGATGTTCAAATACCCAAATGTTCTTAGAATAAAATAATATATATATTATAGCCCCAAAACTTGTTAATTTCCTTTCCAAACCCCTTTTAACTTGCTAACTAAAGGATGTTAAGCACTGTGTGGAGAGAACCCAATGTGGAATTATTCTTTTCCCAACACTCCACCCTTCAGATTTCTCTCAGACGTCTTGGCCTTTTCATTGCTCCTGTCCATCAGGGTAAGGCTTCCATTGCCCTTTCTCCAGCAGGTAGCACCACTTCAACCCCCTAATATATCAAAGGAAACTTCACAGGCTGCATAGCTATATGGTCCAATGTGTTTCCTAACCATACAAGATATTTAGATCTAATTTAATTATCACTAAATAAAATGAAGAATTCAGTTCCTCTGTCACACTAGCCACATTTCAAGTGTTTAATAGCCACGTGTTATGGGCAGCTGCCTTGTTAGACAGAGCAGATACAGAACATTTCATCATTGCAGAAAGTTTTTCGGACAGTGCTGTTCTAGAGGCATGGTGAATCATGACTATTCTCTTCCCCGGCCATTTATGCTGCCTGGCTGGGAAAGTGAATATTCAATTCCTGGGATGTGTTTGCTTGCTCTGGGATCCACAGATTGCTTTTTTTCATTCTTCTCTCTCTCTCTGCTTCTGTTAGTCTTGCCAGAGCATCTAGGAATAGCAGAGCTCTTCCACAGCAATGGTTAATCTCTTGCCAATGGTCCATATGGGCTCTGGAGATGAGATTTACATTTCCTTGCAGCATAACTTTTGGCATTTATTGTGTTAAAACACCATCTGCTTTCTTCTCAGTTTTGAGTTCCATTATAGAGCACTATTCACTTAAACCTTAAAGGAAACATGTCCAATCACATTGAAGAGATATTATCATATTTTTGATCTGGGCAACTGAAAAGATAGTATTTTTGAATATAAAGTGTCTAGGTATATCAAAGATAAGAAATCTGAGAGCTAAAGAGAAGATCTTGGAGCTATCATTTTGGGACTCGTTAGTTTGTAGTTAACAATGGAAGCTGTTGTAATTTATGTGATTATCTACAATAAGGGGAACATTAGTCTCTCGTGAATTTTGTAAAAAAGAAAGAAGAGGATGTGTACAATTATATGCCTAAGACATAATTTTAAAAGTGGTAAAAATAAAGGGTTAGTGCCTGAATCAGTAAAGAACTGTGTTCAGCAACTCATGACAGTGATAAAATTTGAGGGGCTTATGCAAATTAGAGATTTATTTCTCAGGTAATAAAATCAGAGGCAGGTATTCCAAGGTTGGTTCAGCACCTCTGTGAAATCCTCAGGGACCCAAGTTTTGCTCTTCTTATCGCTTAATTCCTTTCTTCAAAATTACAAGATAGTTATTGGAATTGTGATTGTCACCCACATTGTAGCAGACATTCCTGCAGGTGACTCATCACAGTCTCCATGTTCTGGTACTCATGCTTTGTAGAATCCCCATTGAGCATGGGCAGGACATGTAATTTGCTTCTAAGCAACAGAACATGGCAAAGATGATGGGATGCCACTGCCATAGTTATGTTACATTATGTCACACTCTGTCTGGCTAGCACACTGACCCTAGAGTCCTCCCCCTCAACCTGCCATGAAGTGAGCAGCCACACTGGAGAAGTCCACCTGGCAAGGAACTGTGGGTAGCTTCTAGGAGCTGAGGATGTCCTCCAGCCCGAAACTGAAACCCTCAGGCCTGTAGTTACAAGGAAATGAACTCTGCCAACAACCCAAGGGAGCTTGGAAGAAGATCCTCCCCCTGTAAACCTCTAGAGAGACTGCAGCCCCAGCCAACATCTGGACTGAAGCCTGGGAAGACTTTGAAGTTGAAAACCGGCTAAGCTGTGTCTGGCCTCCACACCCACAAACTGGGAGATAATAAATGTATATTATTTTAAGCCACTAAGTTTGTAATAATTTGCTATGCAGAAAAGAAAACTAATATACCTATATTCCAGAAAGAGAGAGAAGACCAGGGGAATGAGCCACAAGAGGCAAACATCAGACGTTTTTGCCAGTTTTAAAGACCTTTCCTGGATATCCACTGAAGGCCTTTCGTTTATGTTTCATTGAACATCTATCTATATCTATCTTTCATTACAAGTGAGGTTGATAAATGAAATCTTACTAAGACACAATATCTCAATGAATAAATTCAGAATTCTGTTACCGGAGAGGGAAAATATGTTTTAAAATATATATTGGTAGACGACTGGCTCTGTCTGCCCCAGCCTTCATTTATTACTTAAATAACCCCTTTTTGCAGTCATGAATGTTATACCGTTACCCTTGCCACCTCCACCCATCTAGGCCACTAATACCTTATAATTTATTCCTTGTCTATGGCTAACAGAATTTTCCAAAGATTACCCTGACTTCTTTTTTTTTTTTTTTTTGCAATGTAACCTTGGGATGTTCCCATGTCATACTAGAGTCTGTTTCTTTACATTCTTAAATTGTTTCAGGCTTTTTGACTATTTTAATCAATAGAATACAGTGAAAGTATCACCTACCATTTCCGGATGTAACCCTTAGTTCATCTGGCTCTTTCTGCTTCTTGCCTCTTAGAAGACAGTCACCATGAAAGAAGGCTGACTACCCTGAGGCCTCTTGTTATGAGAAGCCCAAGTCACATGGAGAGGCCATGAGAAGGCACTATAGCTGACAGTCCCAGGAAAGCCCCCAGCCAATCACTGCAGGAAAGACTCCAAGAAGACATGCTCAACTTAGCCTAGTTATCACACTAAACTATGAGAGGTAATAATAAATTATTAAGCCACTGAATTCTTGGGTTATTACTAGTAACTTGTAACTGAATATTTGTTCACTGTCATTCTCTTCAAGTCTTGCCTTGCTAGTTGAGAATATCAGTTTCATTCTTGGCAATTCATGCAATATTACTGTTTCCCAGTTCCTGCTTCTATCCTCTAGTGATCTTATTCTCTATCTTATCTCAGTTATTCATTTTGCCATTTCCAAACATCTCAATGTTTTCATAATATCAGTTTCACACAACTAATTCTCAGATACCATATTAAATCTTTCCAGCTGTGATGGTTAATTTTACATGTCAACTTGACTAGGCTGAGAGATCCTCAGATAGCTGGCAAACATTATTTCTGGGTATGTCTGTTGAGGGTGTTTCTGGAAGAGATGAGCATTTGTATCAGACGTAATGAAGATCTGCCCTCACCAATGGGGGTGGGACTCATCCAATTTGTTGAGGGTCCAGATAGAACAAAAAGGCATAGGAAGGGCAAATGTACCCTCTCACCTTGAGCTTAAATATCTACCTTCTCCTACCCTTGAACATCAGAGCCCTCCGTTTTCAGTCCATCAGCCTCAGACTGTGAGTTACGCAACTGACTTCCCTGGTTCTCCAGCTTGCAGATGGCATACTGTGGGACTTCTTGGCCTCCATAATTACGTGAGCCAATTCCCATAATAAATCTTCTTTCATATATCTGTAGATAAACTATTAATTCTGTTTCTCTGGAGAACCCTAATACACTCCCCACTTACACAGCTCAAATTCTACAACGATAATAATTTTTCTACCACACTGGACCTTAAATCTCATTAATCCTACAAGCTTTACATTATCTTTTGTATTAGTCCATTCTCACACTGCTATAAGCACATACCTGAGCCTGGGTAATTTATAAAGAAAAGAGGCTTAATTGACTCACAGTTCTGCAGGGTTGGGGAGGCCTCAGGAAACTTACAATCATGGTGGAAGGGAAAGCAAACATGTCCTTTACATGGCAGCAGCAAGGAGACGAATGAGTGAAAGGAGGAAAAGCTAACTCACTCACCATCATAAGGACAGAATGGGGGAAATGCCCCCATGATCTAATCAGCTCCCATGAGGTCCTGCCCCAACACGTGGGGATTACAATTTGGATTACAATTCAAGATGAGATTTTGGGTGGGCATACAACCAAACCATATCTTCTTTCAATCTCCTCATAGTGTCATTTTCACTCTTTTTTTTTTTTATTTTTTATTTTTTATTTTTTTTTTTTGAGACGGAGTCTTGCGCTGTTGCCCAGGCTGGAGTGCAGTGGCGCAATCTCGGCTCACTGCAAGCTCTGCCTCCCAGGTTAACGCCATTCTCCTGCCTCAGCCTCCCGAGTAGCTGGGACTACAGGCGCCCGCCACCACGCCCAGCTAATTTTTTGTATTTTGGGTAGAGATGGGGTTTCACCATGTTAGCCAGGATGGTCTCAATCTCTTGACCTCGTGATCCGCCCGTCTCAGCCTCCCAAAGTGCTGGGATTACAGACGTGAGCCACCACGCCTAGCCCTTTTTCACTGTTACCCAGCCAAAATTTCATTGCCAATAATAATTGTTATTTCCTTGAATACATTTCAATTCCCATTTTTAGCCTATTACCTGCCTGTACTCCTCCACTGAAGGCGGGTAAAGGAAAACACAAAACTATGCTCATTTATTTCCCTTTAATTTTATGGAGATTCCCAAATTTTATCTTTACTATGATCTCTTCTATGAACTCCGTAATCAACTGATTACTGGACCTTTCCTCTTGGATGTCTAATAGACATCTCAAAGTTAAGAGGTCTGAAATGAAGCTTCTAATATCCAGTCTCCCCGCCCTCACTAAATCTGCTCCTTCTGGATTGTTCTTCATATCAGTTATGGCATCATCATGATCCCAGTGGCTTAGGCAAAAATCCTTCAGATCATGTTTGACTTTTGCTGCCAGGCACATCCTAATCCGTGAGAAGTCCTAATGGCTAAAACTTCAAAACTGATGCAGTCAGGGACAGTGACGTTAGCCTGTAATCCCAGCTACTCCAGAGGCTGAGGCAGCAGGATCACTTAAGGCCAGGAGTTTGAGACCAACCTGGGAAACATAGCAAGACCCTGTCTCTACAAAAATAAATAAATTAAATTAATAAGCCAGGTGTGGTGGGACCTGTAGTCCCAGCTACTTGGGAAGCTGAGTGGAGAGAATCAGTTGAGTCCAGGAGTTTGAAGCTGCAGTAAGCTATGACTGGCCCACTCCAGCCTGGGCAACAGAGCAAGACTGTCTCTAAAACCAAAGACTGACCACTTCACACCCCCCAATCTATTCCACCAGAATTTCTTACCTACATTATTAAATAGCCTTCTAACTGGTCTTCCTAATACTTTACTTTACCCATTCAATCTAATTTAACAGAGCAGCTAGGGGAACCCTGCCAAAGAATAACTCGGACACTGTTGTCCTCTGCTCATAAACCTTCCCATGAACTCCCTATGCACTCATTAAGAGTCACACTCACCATGTGTCTGACCTCATCCCCTGCCATGCTCACCCTTGCTCCTGCTGCTCTAGCTGCACCGGCTTTCTCAGTGCTTCTTGTACTTGTTAGGGTAGCTCCCATCAGGGACCTTGCCCTGATCATGATTTTGGTCCAAATTCCTTTTCTCCTTTGTGAGAAGAGGTCTTCATTCACTCATTTCCTTCAGGACTTCATTCACATATTCTCTACTTAACCAATATTATCTACCTTAACCATACTGCCTATACTTTTAAGATCCCCCGTCCCAACCTCCACCATTTCTCGTCATCTTACTGTGATTTATTCTTTTCTTTCTCAGCGCTTATTTCTATCTAACAGACTGTATTTTTACTAATTTATTCTATTTGTTTTCTATCCCCCAATATTATTTAAGTTCCATGAAGCCATTTTTCCCTATTTTGTTACTGTTATTTCCCAGCATCAAGGAAGTTTTGTTTTCCAGGTGTGAACATGTAGAAGATCTAAAGAGCAATAGAGAAATTATTTTTTATTTTTCTACACATATGCAGATTGATGAAATTGAATAATCTTATTCTGTAATTACAATGCAGAAATTTGATCTCAAGAGTCCATCTGCTTGGATATTTTTTAAATATATGTTTATACTCTTTAAAATAAAAGTATATACTTTTAAAAGTATATGTTAAGGTATGTATTTATACTTAAGTCTATTAAGTATAAAACATCAAAAATTGTATGCATTTGGTTCTCCTATTAATAATGTTAAATTTAGAAAATTTATTAACCCTATTAGAGCATCATATACCCTCCTGGAGCTGGAATAAAAGTTTGGTGATTTGATGGAAAGATCAGGTAAGGAGGAGTTCAAACAAAATTATGACTTTCCATCTCTCACCCACAACTACTAGAGTTACTAGTGCAAGCACAGAGACTCTGGAGATAACAGAAAAAGTGTACATTTCAGTGATCAGAATCATCAACAAATTCTGCTTTATGGGGAGCAAGGACACACCCATGAAGTAGAAGCAGGCATCCTGGATGCAACCCTAAAAGAGAAGTGATTGATGGAATTGTTCGATAGAGCCTTCTTATCTTAGTTCCAATTTATCTTCTTCCTTTTAAAACTAGATCCCCTTCTCCAGCATCTCCAGACTGACAGAAAATGAACAGCAAATAATGGAAATCCCTTATATGTGGAAATATGTTTTCATCGTGTCTTGGCCCCAAGTGTGTGAAAAAAGTAAGACTTCTTTATTTTCTAATGAGGTTCACCTTTTCTTTCTGACCCTGACATTTTAACTAGACTGCATGGCATTCTTTCTCATTTATAACAACCAATTAATATGTACCTGGCACACACACAAGTGAGCAGATTTTTAAAAAATCTGAGTAACACTTTCGACAGGAAAGAAGATAAACCTAACATCTTATGGCATAAGCATCCTGAAGTCAATTTCCACTTCTCCACTTCTCTTTCTCACCCCCCATCTCTGTGTCCATTACTGGCCATTTTAGTATTGTGAAGTTGATACAGCAGGATTCACTCTTGGAGATGAGAATTCTGGTAAACGGTGGCTTGAACATAGCTTCTGCTTCTAATATTGATAAAAATGATAAGTGGCTTACAATACTAAATGTAATATTAATATTTTAATTTGAATATAAATTTCATAGTTAGAAACTTAGTAACTAAAAGAATGTACAAGCACAAGTTTTTGGTTAAGAGTCTATCTGAATTTTTAATAACTTCATGCAAAATTGTAAGACCTAATCCAAAATCATGGGGTAATTGTGGCTCTTAGAAGTTTAAGTTATTACATCTTTGTAATTCTCAGTTTTCTCATCTGTAAAATGAGGAATGAGAGCCCGTATTATTTAACATGAGTCTATGATCAGTCTGAACTTAAGAAAAGTTTATCAAAACCTGTATTTTGTACCTGGACTTGGATACCACCACAAGAGAAATGTGAGGTGGTCATTTATTTATTTGTCATATGCTCAAAATTAATAGTAAAGGCTGAATGTTGAAAGTGGTGACATCATCAGTAGCAAAGCATAGGGATGTTTTGTCTCCTTTATCTATACCTGAAAATGTATGCAGGGAAGGGTATTAATGCTAAAGTAGATTTTATACAAATGGGATTTGCTTGGAAGGACAGGGAGACAAATCAAAACTTGTCAGTAAAATGATTTGAAGGGACATGACTTGTAAGGTTTGTAGAGCTGGATAAGTATTATTTAGTTTTGAACACACAAGCAAAATTCATTCTAATATGAGTTGTCCATGGAATCTACACAGCTATGCTTAGGGCAGTTAGTCATCACTATCTCTCTGAAGTTTGAACACTAGCACAGACCTGTTTCAACTGCTATTATACTATATCAGCAGCTGTTTTTTTTCTTTTTAAATATACATGTTATTTAATTTTTCAAAAAATTATTAGCTTAAGATTTATTAATTTAAAAATCCTATGCAATTGAAATTTAATGTCATTATTTATTTTTCCCTAATAAGAACTAATTAGTGTGAGAAAGCTTTGTTAATCCTTATCAGTAAATTAGACAGGAAGAAAATGTCCTTTTTTTTGCCGATGCTGAAGTTGTTGGTCATAGATAAAAGACAACTGGTATGCTCTTATGCCAAAGTTAAAAAATATTCTGTTTATTTTTTGATTAGGCCTGATCAAGATCAAATATTTCATACAAGTGTAAATCAAAAAGTGTCTGAAACAGGTCTCAATTAATTTAGAGATTTATTTTGCCAATGTTGAGGGCATACCCAGGGAAAAGAGACACATGTCACAGTAGAATCTGTGGCTCGTGCTTTCTCCAAAGATGGTTTTGAGGATTTCACTATTGAAAGAGGAAAGAGAGGGCAGGAAGGAAAGAGGAACAGTCAACTACGTACTCAGTCAATCTGCATTTAACATAAGATAAAATAAACATAGATTAGAGGAACTAGTCAAATATACATTTGTCTCAGGGTGGGCAGAGGGATGATCTAGTCTTGTCTTTGTCCTGTACCTGTGAAGATAAACTGTTCTTTATATTGTCAGTCTCACCCCCAGTGGGAAAGGAGTGCAGTTTCAATCTTCAGCAGTAGCTTCAGCAACAAAACATCTGCTAACAACAAACTACTCTCTCTTTTAATTTCTACCTCTTTTCTTTACCCTTTTTCTATTTTTATTTTCCCTTTTTCTTTGTTTTCTTTCCTTGTCATTTCCTTTTCACCAGATGTTCACTTTCTCCTGTTCTCTTCTCTCCCTATCACACCGCATCTTCTTAGTTCTACTTTTTTTTTTTTAAACTTATTCGGCTCTCTATAACTTCTTTCTTTTTCACTTCTACCTTCCCTTTTACTTTCCTTCTTTTTTCATTTTGAGCACTCCAGTAAAACACTTATCATTCAAAAGGCAACATTCCACTGTGCATATACAGAAACACTAAACAAACTGTATTTAGGGAGGAGCATATATTGTCTAAATCCAGTTTTTCAAAGGCAGTTTCTAAAAATAAAATTCATATCAGAGAATGTAAAGGTTTGGGTGGGAAATGCTGTGTCAAATTGTCAGTTGTCTTTATAACCTGACATGAAGTGTGTATTAATGAATTATACAAAATCAACACACAACAAATTGCCTTTCATCTTCTCTTATGGGTTTCAGAGCTGTCAGAAGATTCGGCAGTCTATAATTAGAATGAAAACAAGTCCAGCTTCTCTAATTTTCTTTTCTATTTCTAACAGAAGAATTGATTCTAGACAGTTAACTATAAAATTCAGTAGTTATTAATTTTTCCACCCAAAAGAAATTTTATGTATCTTCCATTTCTTCTAACTTGTTATTTTTATCTAAGAAACATCTTTATTTATACCAGAGTCAATGAGTCAATCCTGAAACTGCATTATTTCAATGAGGTTAATACATATTGTAGAAGACAGATAATTTTGTGCCTTTTCAGGAGCAGTAGCTAAATAAAACATATTGAAAAAAGACATTTTTAGTAAAAAGTATGTATGGCCTGTTTATTCTCATCAAATTGTAGACTTAGTATCTGATCTTAGCTCCACACTCTCTGGCATTCCTGTTTGCTTACTGTCAGAGGACAAGTAACAGCAGTCCTTGGTTAGCAAGGAAAAAAAAATACCCAATCCTCTCTAGAAATATTTCAAACTTTCTAAAGTAGGATTAGTGGGCTACGAGGAAAAATTATTAGCTCTTGGTCAAAATACAATTGATTCAAAACAGACTTACATCAGGGCAGCCATAGGCATTGGGTTAAGAAGAGGAAAAGGAAAATAAAGAAATTGTTTTGGATTTCAAGTTTAGGGAATTTATTTCAAGTCTAAAAAGAATAACCAAAGGAACATAAGCTTAAAATGAAAATAACAGCAGTATGATTCTTGGAAAAGAAACAATATTTTTTCAATACAGTAATCAGTACATATGAGGCATCTACTATACCAACAATGCTATAATATTTATATCGATAAATTAGAGTGACATAGAGCAATCTGTATATTGGACCAGAGTTGTGCTAAAATAAGGCAATGCAGTGCATGGTTGACCTCAGAGAAGTTATTTCACACTGTAAGTATCCATTAAAAACATCAGCGATAATGTCATCAAATTGGCCCTTGATTTGAGCTGGAGCAATTATTCCTACAATTTAGTTTCAATAATTTACATTATTTAGTAATATTATTTTAAGTCAACTTCCAAATAATACATAGGAATGCCAAATTAATGTAGCTTTATGTTTCAACTAAAGACAATAATATATAAATTTTTATGAAATGTTCTATTCCATTAAGAATCTTCTCTAAAGAGTCAATGAAGACATGAGATCATACATGTATAAAAATATATTAAGGGCTTATTGTATAATTGACTTGTTATATTCTAACTGAAAAATATGGTGTCTCTAAAGCCATATAAATATCTTTGCAGAAATATATTATAATATTCACTTTTTATTTACTTAGTAAATATCCCAACCATTTGTAAGAAAGAATAAACTACTTCCTTTGGGTTTTGATAACAATCTATATCAGAATTCCCAAATTAATGGAACAAAATAGGAAAAAGTACTTGAAACCATAATTTATATTTAGGTATTTGTCAGGAAGCCAGATTCCACGGGTTTTGCATATCTGACCCTTTGGCATCTTCCCACATAATCAACCCTTTAACCCAGACTTGGA
Source organism: Homo sapiens (assembly GCF_000001405.40). Classification (NCBI taxonomy): domain Eukaryota; kingdom Metazoa; phylum Chordata; class Mammalia; order Primates; family Hominidae; genus Homo; species Homo sapiens. The sequence goes on from NC_000004.12 coordinate 155,617,473, forward strand.
GTAAAGGGAATAACAGTATTTTTTTTCCCTTCTCTGTTTAACTTGGCTTAACTTTCTGTAGAAACTCCTCTTTCCCACAGCCTAATTCCAAACAAATTGTGATGTTAACAATACTCTTACTGTGGTAATTTCGTCACGTTGCCAGTTAACCTGATGAAAGGCCAACAATTAGATGTCATTTTCTATTTAGGTGAGAAAGTAATTAGAAATTTCACCTAAGATTGACTTGTATTCTTATTTGTGAATTTCCTTTTTACCCACTCCCACTGAACTTCAGCAGAAATTCCAGTCAAGGGAAAATCCTAACAAAAGACCATGAGGGAGGTAGTAACGAATGATCTAGAAAAACATACCTTTTTCCCTCATAGGTAACCAATAAGTAATAGGATGCTAAGAAATAGACCACAGATAAGTACTTAAAACTGTAATTTTTTCAGGAGAAATTTGAAAGGGTCAAATAAACTTTTCTGTAGGTCTCTAGTATACCAACAATGCTATATTGATAAATTAGAGCAACATAGAGCAGTGTGTATATGTATATTGGCCCAAAGTTGTGCTAAAATAAGGCAATACAGTACATGGTTGATAAGAGAGAAAATACAAAATAATTTTAAGAAATCGTTACTTTTCCTAAATTAGAAGAGAATAAAGTAAGAAACTTATCTGTAACGCTTTCAACAGAAAGTGGAAAATAAGGCCTGACACAGTGGCTCATGCCCGTAATCCCAGCACTTTGGAAGGTCAAGACCCAGGAGTTTGAGATCAGCTTGGGCAACATAGTGAGACCCAATCTCTACAAAAACTAATAAAATAAATTAGCTGGGCATGGTGGCACACACCTGTAGTCCCAGCTACTTGGGATGCTGGGTTGGGAGGATCACTTGAGCCTGGCAAGTCAAGTCTACAGTGAGTCACGATCATACCACAGCACTCTAGCCTGGGTGACAGAGCAGGCTATATAAAAAAATTTTTAAAATAGAAAAAAGCGGGCGATTTTAAAAAACATGTGGAGAACAGCTAGGAAGCAAGACAATCTGATCTGTATGAGGGAAGGAACATGACACTATTGGGGATGAATGATTTCAATCATGCTCCAGGTCTTCTGAGGTCATTTGACCAAATAGCAGCAACCAGGAAATATTTCAAAAGCCTGTAATAGGGAACGGGGAGCGCTGGGGCTGCAGATCTTTTGGACACAACACGGGGCAAGCAGCAGCCTTTGTGTCAGCATTTGCACATCAAGATTGGGAAACATTAAAGTTTCATAAAATATTTAGATGGTGTCCACAGTGGTGAAGGTGGGGAGTGGTGGGTAACAGGGCTATAGGATTAAACATGCTTTAGAAATGCTATTAATTTATCGATGATTTGAAAATTCACTGTGCTAAACAAATGCGTTGGCTTTATTCAATACAGCATTTCTCAAATGTACTTCAGCTAAAAACTTTCCTCCCTGCCACATCCTATACATACCTACCCCAAATTCTTAACAACTCACAAGACAATGTATTTTGTCCTGCAAAAATCCATTTTGGTAAATGATGATCTTTATCACTGCTAATTGTTTGAACCAAGGATCAAGTGGATTGGAGAAAAAGATGAGAAATAGTGAGGACTTTGGAGGTCTCAGGATATATTCAGTGGTCTAACACTGTTGATGAATCCTAAGGAAAATATCAAAGGCTAATTCCCTAGGTACTTAAGAATGAATCGGCTGGGCACGGTGGCTCACGCCTGTACTCCCAGCACTTTGGGAGGCCGAGGCGGGTGGATCACGAGGTCAGGACATCGAGACCATCCTGGCTAACATGGTAAAACCTCGTCTCTACTAAAAATACAAAAAAAAAAAAAAAAAGAAATTAGCCGGGCGTGGTGGCAGGCGCCTGTAGTCCCAGCTACTCGGGAGGCTGAGGCAAGAGAATGGCGTGAACCCTGGCGGCGGAGCTTGCAGTGAGCGGAGATGGTGCCACTGCACTCCAGCCTGGGCGACAGAGCGACACTCCATCTCAAAAAAAGAAAAAAAAAAAGAATGAATCATAAGGACACTTAACATTCAACCATTTTTAGTGTCCTATGCTGACTGGTAGAAAAATGGGATCTTTTCTTTCTCTGTATCCAAAGCAGATATCTGACATACTTACTCAAGGTCGACAGGTATTTAAAGACTTTTCTTTCTCTCTTTGTTTATCCAGTTAATTGACTAAGATCTCCTCTAAGGCATTGGAGATTTTCTATTACTGTAGTTCTTCCTGATTTCCCCAATTTTAGATAGGATCCTCGGGGTGGTGGTGGGAGAGAGAGTGAGAGAGAGAAAATAGACCCTAGAAAGATTTATTTGATAAGCTTTGCCTCTTTACGCTGTAGCATGGAAAGAATATCTGGAGAGGGCAAAAGCACATTGAAGATATTACAATATAGGAAAGGGTGTAACCCATGAAATCTTTTGAAAGACTCCTCTGACTTTCAATGGAAGTATTTTGTCGCTCAATCCTGTACGTTCCAAAAGAGTTATAAAATAGCCCAGTTGTCAGCCACTGCTTTTGGTCATTTTTGTTTCTATGCTATCTCTATATTTCGAGGAACCACACTGTGGCTGGGACATAAATGGCCAATCCTGACACATGTAACAAAAGCATCTTCTTTTTATTGCTGTCAGAGAAAAACTATATGGAAATAATGTCATTTTACTCTTAACATCATGACCTGAAAATAGCAGTCATTTAATGCTGCTGTTAAAAATCTCATTCATGTAAAAGTTAGGAGAGTCGTCACTCCCATTACTGGAAGATACTGAAAGGCCTCGTAGTATGCATATATGTTCTCACTCATAGGTGGGAATTGAACAATGAGAACACTTGGACACAGGAAGGAGAACATCACACACCGGGGCCTGTTGTGGGGTGGGGGTAGGGGGGAGGGATAGCTTTAGGAGATATACCTAACGTAAATGACGAGTTAATGGGTAGAGCACACCAACATGGCACATTTATACATATGTAGCAAACCTGCACGTTGTGCACATGTACCGTAGAACTTAAAGTATAATTTTAAAAAAGAAAATATGATGTATATATTGAGCATTTATTTAGTAGACATGAATCTCTAGTATTAGTCCCTAATTTGTTTACTAGTTCTATGACTGCAGTATCAAGTCCACTGCTCCTTATGATATTCTGATATTTTATTTCTAAACTGAAGACAATAATACTTTCCATGTTAAAATGTAGTTTTATGGAAATGTTGTCATGATATGATGCATTTTGAAAAAAAGGCAAGTTGATATATTTCTTTAAGATAGTATTAAACAGTAGCTTTTCTACAAGTTTAGAACCATGCCAAATGACATTTTTTCCCTTTTCCTCCTCACTGTATCTTTCTGACTCAGCTTGGTCAAATCATAGCACAATTTTTAAACTATTCAGTTCTTAGAAAAAACTCTTAAAGGAAGTAAAGAAAGAATTTGTTCACCCTCAAAGGGCTTCAAACTTGTTTCTATATGTGTAGTGTCCTGGATCATTAAATAATGATATTCATGTTCAAAAGTAATTTATTATTATGAAAGTGAGGTGATTCTTAAGTTACAAAAAAAAAAACTCCCGCATGATTAGTTTTAGTTTTGTTAATTTATCACACAGGGCAACTTTAAGATCATTAAACAAAGACCATTAAACAAGTTTCTTTAGCATTAAATATATGTAAAATTGTGTGTACATATATATATGCACACACAAGCATATATAGTGTGTATATATATGATATATATGATAAAGATATATATATATATATATATATATATATATATATATATATATATATAATCAAAAACATCCTACTGAAAGGTTAGTATTCCGTGCTAAATACAGAGATTCTTTTTGAGACGGAGTCTCGCTCTGTCGCCCAGGCTGGAGTGCAGTGGCACTATCTCGGCTCACTGCATGCTCCGCCTCCTGGGTTCAAGCCATTCTCCTGCCTCAGCCTCCCAAGTAGCTGGGACTACAGGCGCCCGCCACCACACCTGGCTAATTTTTTGTATTTTTAGTAGAGACAGGGTTTCACTGGGTTAGTCAGGATGGTCTCGATCTCCTGACCTTGTGATCCACACGCCTTGGCCTCCCAAAGTGCTGGGAGTACAGGCGTGAGCCACCGCACCCGGCCAATGCAGAGATTCTTAATGGTAGTCTATGTGGCAAACTTCAGATTTCACAATTTTGTAGAGATAAAGAGATGACAACTTACTGCACCCCTGGAATTTATATGTAGTGAGTTGAAATTATAGAAACTAGTTACATAGAAGTCATAGTCATGTAATCAAGAAAATGTAGACACCATTTATCCATTTATTTATTCATTTTCTTATCAGTACTTATTGAGTACTTATCATGTGTCCAGCACAGTGTCAGGTGCTAAGAATAAAATGGATAAACCTAAAAGAAAGACTAGAGACACCGTAAAGCCTTGGGCTGTATTCTGTGTGTTGTATGTAGTCTCATGTTGAAGCTGCATGTCAAGTAATTTACTGAAAAAAATAACGTTTCCTTTTAGTGTTTGCTTTATTTTAGATTTTATAATGTTAAAACATTTTTTCAATCTTCTTTGGACTTTAGAGTTTCTTTACTTCAAAGCAATTCAAAATATATTTAACATAGAAAAGCAAACAAGACTTTTTACAGAATTGCTGAAAGTAATGTTTTATGAATTTATTGACAACTGTGAAATAGCAACATGCTAACCATCCCCCACAAAATATGGCCAATCTATCTGTAGTAATGGCAAAAGAAAGAAATTAAAGCTATTCTATGTTTATTCATGTTGCCACTAAAGACATATGTAACAAAAACATCATTTCTGATGGAAAAAAATTAATGAAATCTGCTAAAATATATCAAGAAAACTAACCAGTACATCAATATTGATTTTCATATTCAAGAGGAGCATATTTCCTTAATCCCAAATAAGGAGTTTTCAAAGATTAAAAGTCGTATTTCACAATTTGGGTATCTGCAAGAATTGCGGGGGGGAATGTTCTCTCAATCATGGGCCTACTTTCATTGATTTTTCTTTTTAATATCAACAATACTGATGATAAGGCTGGGTAGTGGTACGCACCAGTATTCCCAGCTACTTGGGAGGGTGAGGCAGAAGGACTGCATGAGTCCAGGAGTTCGAGACCAGCCTGGGTGACAAAGTGAGACCCCCTCTTCTCAATTTTTAAAAACTGATTATTAACATAATCCCTTCAAATTTGTTAATGGTAGCAATTTCTTTATTTTTTTCCTGCTGTAATATAACTTATTTCAATTGTAATAGTGGTACAAATTAGGAAGATCATAGTAAAAACCCAGCACATTGTCGTATGTGATGTGTCGGAAGCAATTCTGTTCATTCAGTGGCTATAACAGGTTCCTTCTCCACTAGGCCACCCCATCCCCACCAACACATTTTGTTACGTGTTTGCTTGATTTGCTCTAAGTGCCATGTTTGATTTTCTCACATTTCTCCCTATGACATTTGTACCCTACCTCTCATACATGTACATCCTGTCCCCGTAACCAAATATGAAGATCTTTAGTATTTTAGAATTGCTTAAATTTGCCTGTATTTATAGCCTCCTTCAATTCACCAGTTACTCATTTACTGATCTGCTACAATGGAACATCTTACCATCCTCAAGCTATTGAACTTGACCCCTTTAAGATGACTGAAGACATTTTTATCTTGAAGTACAGTTCCTTTTCCATCTCTGCCATCCCCAGTATGGAGTCTACTTACAGAAATCAATATCTCTCTAGGCTTTCATAAATAAGATGAAGTTATCCTGTGTGTCATATAAAGTGCTTGGAGGCAAGCAACAGAAACTGATGCTGGCCATCTTAAATATGAAAGACAATTTTTAGCAGAATGGAAGAACTCATAGTTAATGGGAAGCTGAAGACTGGCCAGGAAAACTGGCAGGAATGAAGGGATCTTGGCAGCAGGATCCACAGGCAGCCAAGTGCTTGTGGCTGAAGCAGGTTGATGTTCTCACACCCTAGACACTACACTCATTTCAACCTCTAGATTTCTTTATGCAGGAGTCAAATCTTACTTCTTCAACTAAGAATCAAAGTCCTAGAGAGAACATCTGGTTGGATAAGCCATATAACATTTCCACACTTCCTGCTACTCCCAATCCTGGCTGTTCCTGCAGAATCTCTCTACTTTGGGATTCCAGGAAACTATATCACTGTTATTCAGAGAAGAACACGTCTGGCTGTTCCTTCTCTGCTTCCTTTGCTAGAAGTGCTAATTTTGACCACAGGCTCATCTCTCTTGCCTATCTCTGTATTTTCTCTTCACAGTCACACTCACTGCTTAAAGAGCCTCTTCCTATCTACATCTTTCATCAGTCCTGATTTTTCTTCTTTTCTTGTATCATCATCACTGTCTATTAGATATTTCCATTTGGATACATTACTATCATCTTAAACTCTGTTTATTTAAACCTAAGTTTATCATCTTTCCTCTCGCCTCTCCCAAAAAAGCCTTAGCACTGTGTTACCTCAAGCGCAAGCACGTACATACTATCTGCCTGCCTTCCACCAGGCTGAAAGCCTTGAGCCATTTTTAATCCCCAGTTAACCACTGCTCTAGTTCCTATGTTCTCTTCCAATCCATTCATCTAGGAAATCAGTTTATGAAATTTACTATTCATTAGTGACCTCACGTGCAACATGCCTGGTACTGTACAACAGATCCACTGATGGGCTTCATTTAAAATGTGAACTGCAGTAAGACCAATGAAGTTCAGAAACTATATGAGAAATAGGTACTGTGATAATGGAAAGGAAAGGAAAAGAAGAAAGAAAAAGAAAGAGAAAGAAGAGAGAAAAAGAAAGAAAGAAGAGAGAAAAAGAAAAGAAAGAAAGAGAAAGAAAGAAAGAAAGAAAGGAGAAAAGAAGATAAAGAAAAATAAAACTACCATTTGGGTACTATCACCACTACCTGGGTGCAATGTATCCATGTAACAAACATTCACATGTAACCCCCTGTATCTAAAGTAAAAGTTGATTAAAAAAAAAAAAGAGACAGAAAGCAAAAGATAGAAAAGTCTAAACAAAAGAGTACTCAAAAGTTTAGAAGATTTAGTTTCTACTTCCTCACTTTCTACTTATTAGCTCTAATAATAAGTAAACCATTAAAGTCTGTGGCTTTAAATGTCTTCATCTAAGAGATGAGACATTAGTCTATGTGTCATAAGAGGTTTTCAGGCCTAACACTTTATGACTTTGGTTTAGAAGCCTCTGTTTTCCAGGTTGTGACATTAAAACTAAATGTTCAGAGTCCCTCAGATCAAGCAGAATTCTCAACAAGGCCCAAGTGGTGCTCCAGGGTGCTGGAGGGGAACAAAAGAACATATAATCCTCAATTTTTTCCTTCCCAAGTAATCAGGAATAAAAATACTGAGCCAGAGTTGGGGGTGCAGTATCTGGGAGCCTGGGTCAATTATAATTTAAGGCATCTCTTGCCCATGGACTAAAATGTGTGGCACAGAGGGGTAGTCCAAGATGTCATTTTAGAAAGAATCTGAGTCAAAAGCCTAGATGACCACCCAAACAAACAATCTAAAAGGGTATGGCAAAAAGAAGGAAAATACATGAGGCTGCTCTGAGCTCTTTTTTTGTGACGTTCAATAAAGTGCAGCCATGAGACAAGACCCAGGAGAGGTACAAGAAATTAACGTTTGGCTGGGCCGTGCACGGTGGCTCAAGCCTATAATCCCAGCACTTTGGGAGGCTGAGGCAGGTGGGTCACTTGAGTCCAGGAGTTTGAGACCACCCTGAGCAACATGGCGAAACCCTGTCCTTACAAAAAGCACAAAAAATAGCCAGCTGTGGTGGTACCTGCTTGTAGTCCCAGCTACTGAGGAGGCTGAGACAGGAGGATTGCTTGATCAGGAGATTAAGGCTGCAGTGAGCTTTTATCACACCACTGCACTCCAGCCTGGGCAAGAAAGTGAGACTTTGTCTCAAAAAAAAAAAAAAAAAAGGAGGAAAAGAAAAGAAAGTTTATTTTACTCGCATATTCTTGAGAGGGGGTCATTGTATACCATACAGGATCACTGGGGAAGCACCAGATTTAAGTCAGATGGCAGAGGGCAGGAGTCAGGGGGAAAGCATAAGCATTAGTCCAGAGCCTTTACTGGAGTTTCCATAGGGGGTTAAAAAAAAAGGGAAGGAAGAGAAAACAGTTTAGGCCTGGGTAATAATAATGTCAGTGGGCTCTGAACTATAGGGGTAGTCCCTAGTTGCCTGGTACCTGGCCCTGGGATGATTAAGGCAGAGAAATATTGCCCCCTGGGATGCACAGGCCAGATAGAGGATGCATATCTCTGGATTGCTGAGTTTGGATGTGAAAGGCACACTCCTGCTTTAGATCTCTGAGAATTGACTAGCTCCAGTAGGGACAGTCTTTTCCCCATCAGAAAGGTTTTTAAGATTTTCTGTGTATCATAATATACAGAAAATTAAAAATATATGCAATATAGAAACAAATTTTAGAAAGTTTAGTAGACCTTTGTCACTGGATTTCATGGCCTCAAGTCAAAATATTTGACCTGGCCTCTGTGTGTGTGTGTGTGTGTGTGGATGTGTGTGTTTGTGAGTTTGGGTAGAGCATTAAAAGTAAAAAGTAAGAGATGTTAGAAAATGTAGGTGAAAATATATAAAATATTATTTTAATGTTTCAAAGAGACTTGATAGTGAAGGAAAAAATATAAGCAGTAGTAAGAGGAAGGTGTAGATTGGAAATAAAAATTTATTGCAAACCTATTGCATAGATGACACTTATTCTAGGAAGTCAGTAACATATAACACAACAAACTAAAACTGTCCTGTGATTTCATGTAAAACGAAAATTGCCACAATTCTAGATTAAAATCACACTGCCTGACGTCTTTGATAAAAACACACATAATAAAGAAGAGAGAATATAAATAATCCAGATTAAGGAAGATTTTTACCCACAAAGCTTCCTTGAGAAAAAAAATTCTATAGGTTTTGCCTGAAATTGAATAGCCCCATTACTGTCTCACATTTGTGATCTTGAGATAAATTGTCCTTTATCGCTAGTGGAGCTGTTACGGGACATGACTACCACAATGAAATTGAACACTTTCAAGGGACTCATAGAACAAAAATGTAATCTAGACTACAATTTATAATTAAAACTTTTCACAGAGCTCTGTAGTTTGTAAATGTGTGATAACAGAAAGTGGCACTGGTATGTGTTAAATGTCAATGATAAGTTTTCCTTTCAGTGTTCCATCTGTTACCACAGTAAAGAAAATTTCCAATTATGGCTCTTGCTTATGCAGTTTTGAAGTTGAAAATCTTTCACAGTATTTGGGGATGTGAGAATTGATTTACTTTTGACTACTTTTCCCACATTTATTTATTTATCATTCTTTCATACAACATAGTTATTGCATAACATTCGTTTACTAGGTACTAAGAGATAGGACTAAAATGATAAACAAGGAAGAAATGAACCATGCCCTTGCAGAGTTGGCCATCTAGTAGGGACACAAACAATAACCAAGAAATTACAGTGCGGTGTAATCAACAATATTAGGAGAAGTACAGAGTGACACAGAAACACAAGAGTGCCATTCAGCCAAGGAATTAGAGATGGATTACTAAGAGAATGAAATCTCAGCTGAGACAATGGATGGGAGTTAGCTGGTCAAAGAGGGGGAAGAAGACTTTCCAAGGCAGAAGTAACAGTAAAAGCAGGCTAAGCCATGCTGAGAAAACAAAAAAGACATCCAAGTCTCAGTAGTTTAGAATTAGAAAGGTTTATTATGTATTCATTCTATGTCCGTAAGATCTAATGTAAAACTAAAATTTTCACAATTCTAGAATTACATTGCTCAACATCTTTGATGAAAACACACAAAATAAAGAAGAGATCATGCAAATAAGCCAGATTAAGGAAGATTGTTATTCCTCAAACCTCCTTGTAAAAACTTCTGTAGGTCTGCCTGACATTGGATGACCCTTACAATCTCACATTTGTAGCCATCATGTGCTGACCACATCTCTGCTCCATGTCTTCTTTCCAGGACATAGGCTGATGAATTATCCTCCATGTGGGACATTGCCTGTCTTGTGGCAGACTGAAGAAAGATCACACTGAATGGCTCTTAAAGCCATTATCCTTAACATGGCTTTTAAAGGTATCCTCCAAAAATGATAGATGTCACTTTTGTTTACATTTCCCTAGGCTAAACAAATCACCTGGCTATGTCTGCAGGACAAAGAGGTATAATATTCCAATGGGCAGAAAGGGACACCACACTGTGAAAAACTGGACATTATGGCAGACTAGTGTTACCATTTATGAATGGCATAAATAAAGGAAGAGTCCCAACGTGAAACTCAGTATAGCTTAAGACTTGATTTTTATATAGCTTGAGCTTAGACAGTGAGGCAGAAAGAGATATAGCATGAAGCTGGGTCAATAACCATGAGCCAGATGGGGCAAGCTCTACAGGCCACTTTATTTATTTATTTATTTATTTACTTACTTACTTACTTACTTAAGACAGGGTCTTGCTCTGTGACCCAGGCTGGAGGGCAGGGGCACAGTCATGGTTCACCACAGCCTCTATCTCCTGGGACCGAGCACTCCTCCTGCCTCAGCCTCTCACATAGCTGAGACTATAGGCCACATTAAAGAGTTAAAACATGATCCTAAATCCTTTGGGTAGCCATTGATGGCTGACTGTAATGTGGAAACTGAGTGAGAAACAGGACAGATTGCAAGAAGAGGGGCCAGTCAGAAAGTGTAGGCCTAAATCTAGGGGAAAAATCATGGAGGCCTGACCTAGATAAATGCAGTAAGAATGGCAAAGGCCCACAGGATTTAAGAAGTGTTAGAAAAACTGAATCATCAGCAGCTGGAGAGTGCGTGGCTATGAGGGATCACAGGGAGGAAGAAATGATACAGTTCAAGTTTTCGTTTGTTTAGTAAAGGATGACATGAATCCCCATACAGAAAACACAGAGGGGAAGCAGGTGAAGAGGGAAGACAGTAAATTCCTTTTGGAACAGTTTGACTCTGGCTCCTCTGGAAGGCATTCAAGTAGAGGTATCCAGTAGGTGGATACACATTTAGGTTGGAGGCTACAGAAGAAGGGAAATCTGAGCTGCAGATACAATGATGGGAGTCATCAAAGTACAGATGATGAGCAAAGCTGTGGAGGGACTGAAGTCATTCAGGGAGATGGCATGAAAGGAGAAAAGGAGAAATAATAAAAAGATTATGCAGCACAACACTAAAACTTTTTCTGCAGAGAGATTTTCTGGGGCCTTTATTAAAAGCTTGTATTCCAGCCAGGTGCGGTGGCTCACGCCTATAATCCCAGCACTTTGGGAGGCCGAGGAAAGCGAATCATGAGGTCAAGAGACCAAGACCATCCTGGCCAACATGGTGAAACCATGTCTCTACTAAAAATACAAAAACAAACAAACAAAAAATAGCCGGGCATGGTGGCGTGTGCCCGTAATCCCAGCTACTACAGAGGCTGACACAGGAGAATTGCTTGAACCCAGGAGGTGGAGGTTGCAGTGAGCTGAGATCTCACCACTGCACTCCAGCCTGGCAACAGAGTGAAAGTCCGTCTCAAAACAAAACAAAACAAAACAAAACAAAACGGCATGTATTCCTATACCTTTATTATTCTGTCGGTAGAGGAAGGGCATTTGTTCTTAAAGAAGAGTCAGAAGTCATACTCCTCAAGACCTCCCATAGCATTCCACATAAAGTGGTCTGGAAAACAATTCATCAGTGAGTCAGACAGTTTGGGTTTTAGCTCCCTACTTTGCCTCATAGCAACCATGTGTCCTTGGAAAACCCCTTAATCAGCCATGTCTTAATGCTGTCATTTGTACAACAAGGATGCTGGCACCTCCGCTCCATATTGAATCAGGTTGACAGGATTAACAAAGCTACATAATATAGGTGAAAAGCCCTTTGGAAGCTGAAAGTTCTTTTAAAATAATTATAGTTAATATCACAATGTTCACTCTAGAGCGGGAGTGGGTGGGGGGGAATTCCTAAATCTATTTTGAGATCTCATAAAATATGGAGAAAATAGAAAGTCCTTTGCCAAACCTCATAAAAGCAAAATTGACAACATTTCTGACATGACTCATTCTTCCTTTGAAAACTAACTATCAAATCAGATAAGGGTCAACTCATTTTAAATAGAAGCTTAAGGAACATAAAACTTTTTTTAAAGTATTTTCAAAATGAGACTGCTATTCTTTTTCACATTGTTCATTTGGGAGGTGTCTATTAGTTATACATAAGTTATCCTATACATAAAGCTCTAATCTCACCCTAGTCCTAATGTTTAAATTTTCCCTTCAGGCAGATACATTTGTATGGTGGCAAAAGTAGTCAAATTTTCCAATTATGTTTCTCAAACCTTCAGTGATCTTTCTTGTGGTGCTCTCAGTATTAACCAAAAGCTTTGAAAATCCTTACATTTATTTTTTAAATTCCAGAAGATTTATCTAGAGATGAGAGGCATTTGGAGTTAGAATGTTTATACTGTCAATGACTCAAGGAATGTATTTTCTATAACTTACATTTTCAAGCTGTAATTATAATTTTTTTCAACCATTTTTAGCTATTTGGATTACAGCCAGTCTTCACTGTCACTGTTTATGTGTTTGAGTTCTTGTAAACTCTGATTTAGAAACACTCTAGAATTCACTATCCAAGCAGTTTATAAGAAATTTGACTCTTGGTTCGTATGTATGTTAAGTGGTTTTTTATAAACTCTGCCAAGAGTAGGACTTATGCTTTCTGCTATCATCTCTCCACTTTATTTTTCTAACCGAAAAGTGTCCCAAACATGAAAACATTATGCAAGGCTCCATGTACCACAGAAAGTATTACCTATGTTTTTTTTTCTTGAGACAGGATTTTGCTGTCTTGCAATCATAGCTCACTGCAGCTTCGACTTCCTGGGTTCAAGAGATCCTCCCTGCTTTAGCCTCCTGAGTAGCTGGTACTACAAGTGTGTGCCATCACATCCAGCTAATTTTTGTAATTTTTGTGGAAACAGGGTCTCACTATGTTGCCCAGGCTGGGCTTGAACTCCTGGTCTCAAGTGATCTTCCCACCTGGGCCTCCCAAAGTGCTGGGATTACAGATATGAGCCACTGGGCCTGGTCATTAGCTATGATTTAAAGGGAGAAAAATAAAACCTTCACTGAACATTTAATTAAATTTCTTTTGGTTTTGTGTGATAGAATGTTAAATATATATATTCAGGGATATATAAATAATATAATTTGTTTTGACTTTTCAGTTAATTTCTAAGCTGTATTAGTCCTAAGGATAGTAAATATTAGGTACTTAGATGGGCCATCACTCACCACCCACATCCCAAACATCAGAAACCCATCATTACACATTTTCTCAATGAGGACTCAGAATCTTTCTGAACACAGCAGCCCAGGCAGCATCTTTTTTTTTTTTTTCCCCCCCTCAGACAGTGTCTCGCTGTCGCCCAGGTTGGAGTGCAGTGGCGCGATCTCGGTCCACTGCAAGCTTCGCCTCCCGGGTTCACGCCATTCTCCTGCCTCAGCCTCCCGAGTAGCTGGGACTGCAGGCGCCTGCCACCACGCCCGGCTTTTTTTTGTATTTTTAGTAGAGACGAGGTTTCACCATGTTAGCCAGGATGGTCTCGATCTCCTGAGCTCGTGATCCACCCGCCTCGGCCTCCCAGAGTGCTGGAATTACAGGCATGAGTCACCGTGCCCAGCCGGCAGCACTTTTTGATCAACTAGAATTTTCACATAAGTTGACACCTATTTGCCACCCTGCGGCCAACAGTCACGATAAGTAATGAATACCAATAATCATATATATATTTCATCCTACTAATCTACAGCAGACATATCTTATATGGAAATTTTATCTTTGCATATTAAAAAATCTTACTTGTGACTTAATTTATGCTACAAGTACTTAGACAACTATCTATTTTTCTATAGGTATTAACACTATGTATAGCATAATAAATTATTACCATTATACCAGTACTCTCTCTATAATCCTTCATTATCATCAAAAAACAGTGGAGTGTCTTCTTTTGAAAGATGTTCACGTATACTATTTGAGGGATGGTTACACTAAAAGCCCAGACTTCATCACTACGTAATAGATCCATGTAACAAAACTGCACTCGTACCCCCTAAATCTATAAAAATTTTACAAAGACAATCAAGTGTTGGGTTTTTTTTTTTTTTTTTTTTTGAGACAGAGTCTGGCTCTGTGGGCCAGGCTGGAGTGCAGTGGCACCATCTCGGCGCACTGCAACCTCCATCTCCCGGGCTCAAGCAATTCTCCTGCCTCAGCCTCCCAAGTAGCTGGGATTACAGGTGTGTGCCATCACACCCAGCTAATTTTTAGTAGAGACGGGGTTTCACCACGTTGGCCAGGCTGGTCTCAAACTCCTGGTCTCAGGTACTCTGCCTGCCTTGGCCTCCCAAAGTGCTGGGATTACAAGCATGAGCCACCATGCCCAGCCCTGAAGTGTCTTTTTAAAATTGCTAAATGAATTGCTAAAATAAAATGAATTTAAATACTTGTAGAGCAATTATCACTATACTTATTTCAAATAAACTGGTAATTTAGCAAGGTAAGAGTATGTTGATTTTAAGTCTCATGTGAACTTTGTTTTATCACTTCCGTGAGTACAGTCTATTTTTTCATATTTCTGCTAATCTTTTCATTTCTATTTGTAAAGCAATAACAAAATGGACAGTTATTATGCACTGATGTAAAAAGTTATCATTATTCTTCTAGAACACATCCATTTGCCTCTTATTGAAGGCATTTTCTTATTTTTTAAATATTCTTTTGGACCTCTCCAAATGAAATGCTACTAATTGCATTGTTAAGTCACATGATGTAGCCTTTGAGATTATGCAGATGTGTGTTGACAAAATAACTATTTCAAACATTGTACATGGCCTAGAAAAAAGTGTTTTAATGACTAGGAAAAAAGATTCGCTACGGGAAGCAAGTTGATGGTAAGCAGCTGTTTCTTTTTTAAACATTCCTTCTGTTGGACTACATTTTATATCTGTCCTCCTTTTCAAGTCCGAACTTCAACTGGTTCATCTTAGTCATTATTCATTTAATAGTAAATGTCTGGTAGGATCCAGTTTCGATATGCTTCATCATCTGGTTGGTAGGTAATGTATGTGGTATAGTACTCCTGGCTGGGAGCCTTGGACAGCTTTCTTGGAATACACAGTTCTTAGTTGACAGCATGAAATTGAGTTTCAGCCACCATGGACAAATGTGATATCTCATTATCTACAGAACTATAATGTGAGATCTTAGAAATTCAGTTCTTGGAAACACACTCATAAAAATAGTAGCACTAGAGGTGTGTTTTGTACCAGCAAATAATATGTCTCTCTGTAGAGACTACATTTGAAACTTACCTTGAATTAACTTAGGCCTTGTTATAAAAATCTGGAGCTCTTATGTAAATAATAGTTATAATAGTCAGCTTATTAAAAATTTACTTTTAACAGGATTCATTCATTTTTTAATTCTTTCTGTTGATAAAATTAATGGAACAAATAAGCTTATCATAGAGAAATTGAGTAGAGAGAATCTTATAGATTCTACTATAGAAAATATGCTGCCACACCAGAAAGGTTCACAGTTCCTGGGCTGGATCCTAGCGCTTTTAATCTCTCTTGAATTGCCACATATCTCATTTGGGAAATAAAATGACCTATACTATAATTATACAGTATTGATGAACACTAGAGAGTTTAAGAGGTCTAATTCCCATCATTCAAGCATATTGGTTGGGGAAAATGTATGTTTCCTTCTCAGAGCAGAAATCAATGACTCTATAATTTCAAGATGAATTATATGACATGTAATCAGGATTTTATAATAATAAAACTGGTGAAATGTCAGCACATAGCAATCATTTAAACCAAGAACAAATTAAGTGAAAAGTTTTAATATGTTCACTGATATAACAGAACCACAGTCAATAATTTGATTTCTTAAGTAATAGTCTCATCAATAAAACACAGAAATCTAATATAATGAATAAACTCAAAGCTGTCTGGTGTCTGATATTGGTAAATCAATGATCAATAACTTGATATTGATGTATCACAAAATACCTCAGGAAGGTCTTCAGAGCATAAAACTGTAAGGTTAAACTGCACAACAAGTAAACAGCACATGTAGTTGACTAATACTCCTGGAGTTGCATAGTTTGCAACCTTCACAACACTTGGCTGCTCTGAGAGCCCATAAATAGCATCATATTAATGTTTTAATCAACAGTTTTGATGATAGAAATGAAATAGTCTGACCATGATATGATTCTCACTTTTATGTCAAGATTAGCTCTAAAACAATGGTTTTTTGTTTATTTTTTTTTTTGAGATGGAGTTTCACTCTTGTTGCCCAGGCTGGAGTGCAATGGCATGAGCTCGACTCACCACAACCTCTGCCTCCTGGGTTCAAGCAATTCTCCTGCCTCAACCTCCCGAGCAGCTGGGATTACAGGTACCCACCACCACACCCAGCTAATTTTTGTATTTTTTTTTTTTTTTTTTTTTTTTTTAGTAGCAATGGGGTTTCGCTGTGTTGGCCGGCTCCTGACCTCAGGTGATCCGCCCACCTCGGCCTCCCAAAGTGCTGGGATTACAGGCATGAGCCACCACACCCAGCCAAAACAATGTCTTTAACAGTTTGGTAAGAGAAGATTTACTCAGCCCATGTCTTCCCTATTCAAAGTGACTATATTAAATGAGATAGAAATTAAACATTTTAGTTTGTCAAGATCATTTGTGAGTTGTGTTCAAAAGGTTACTAATTTTAGTAAAACACTCTAATGTGTGTGAGATTTGCTTGAAAAATAAATCAGAGTGGATTCAAGGTCATCCCTGCAACAGCGTCACTCTCGTGCATTTCAAAGTGTTTGCTTCAGTGGAAGCTGAAGAATGACATCATAGCGAGTACCATTAGGACTCCATCCAAGCTGGGCTGTCTCTGGTCTGTACCACAGTCCATAACAGAGGTGGGCCCATGGGAACGTGTGGCGAGGTACACATGTATTTTCTGTGTGCTAGGGCTGATAAAGAAAGAGCAGCTTTACTCTGAAGAATGGATTGAACTCTCAAATACGGACTAGCCCAAAGAAGTTCATGTATTTTTGTGAAAATGAGAAAGTCGGGGGGGAAAAAAAAAAAACACCACAGGCCGGGCACGGTAGCTCACTCCTGTAATCTCAGCATTTTGGGAGGCCAAGGCGGGCGGATCACGAGGTCAGGAGATCGAGACCATCCTGGCTAACACGGTGAAACCCCGTCTCTACTAAAAAAGAATACAAAAAATTAGCCAGGCGCGGTGGCCGGCTCCTGTAGTCCCAGCTACTGGGGAGGCTGAGGCAGGAGAATGGCGTGAACCCGGGAGGTGGAGCTTGCAGTGAGCCGAGATCGCGCCACTGCACTCCAACCTGGGCGACAGAGCGAGACTCCGTCTCAAAAAAAAAAAAAAAAAAACCACACACACACACACACACACACACACACACACACACACACACACACAGAAAAAACACCGTTGAGGCCTGGAGTCACAGGCAGCAGATGTGGCACACCACATTTCTGGTCTGATTAGGTTCCCCCTAACCACTTGTCAATGATTATTGCAAGGTAAGACCACCTGCTATCTGGGCTACTCATCTCAGATAAAACTTAAAGGGAATGAATTCAACATTGAAGTTCTAATTCGTGAGTGATTACATCAGCTTTATTTTAATTATCCGTTTAATAAGTATTTATTAATTCCTAATAAACAAGACATGGTCCTTCCCTAAAGAGCTCATAGTGATGTAGTACAAACAGATGCAAAGAAAATACTGCAATATCACATCCTAAGTCCTGCAATACATTTATGAGCAAGCCAGATGAGAAGCGTGATACGCTTTTGTTCAGGGTTTGGGCATAGAAGGAAAGGCCTCATATCTGAGAGTACGCTAAAGGAGGCAGTAGAAGTGGGGCTGGGACCCAGGAGGATGTCAGTACCAGTTTGGCCTCTCTGATCTTTGGAATATGAAAATAGTAAGTCTCCATGGAAGAGCCTACAAAGAGCTGGGGCTCGGGTTTCCTTACAATACAGCCAGCTTCATTTACAACCAAGGGTCACTATGCCTTCTAGAAAGAGGCACAGATGTGTAAGGTTGTAGAGCACAACAGGGATCCAGGGAGATATGGAGATAGTGGAATGTGACCTCCTTTTCCTCCCTGGACCACTGTACTTCTAAATGCAGCCTAGAGTAAGAGAAAGGTGTTTTGATCCATTGTCAAAAGCATGGTTTCTTTCTCCCCGTGCTCTTCACTCCAGCTACGCTCATCTCCTTTCGGTTCTTGCAACATACTATGTTCCCAGTCCTCACGGCTCTCGCACATGCTGTTCCTCCTGTCAAGACCATCTTCCCTGCCCCGAAACTCCCCTCAATTCTCACGCACGCTTCACATCTCAGCCTCAACTTCACTCCCTCTGGGACATGCCCTGACCACATTTCTATCTCCCATATGAAGAGATCAGATTCATCTTTGAGAAGGTCTATACTTCTCTGTACTTTCCTTTCATAGCACTTATAGGTGTTCTGAATCATATATTTAGCTATTGTTTCCCTTCTCACGGGCTATGGAGCAGTGGCCAAAATATTAACCTATTTTGCTCATGACTGTATATCTACTGACCTGGCAAAGAACCTAGTGCACAGCTTGTGTTCAAAATATACCTGTTGAGCAAACAAACGAATGGACTCTCATTCTCAGTGCAGCAGAAGTAAAGCAAAAGCAAGGGACTGTTTTTTAAGTTAATTGACATATTGTCTTAGTCCCCCTCCAGCTAATTCTTTACACTGATGGAAAATTTATGATGATTAATTTTTAATGAGCTTTTTAAAATTTTAGAGTAGTCTTAAGTTTACAGAAAAACTCCCACTCCCAGTTTTTCCTGTTATTTACGTCTTACATTAGTACGGTCTAATTGTCACAATTGATGAACCAGTACTGCTGTATTCCTAATAACCAAAGTCCTTTCTTTATTAGAATTTTCTTAGTTTTTACCTGATGTCCTTTTTCATGTTACAGGACCCTATCCAGAATGCCACAGTCTATTTAGCGGCCTTATCTCCTCCGGGTCTTTTTCTTCTTTTTTGAGACAGAGTCTCACCCTGCCACCTAGGCTAGATTGCAGTGGCAGGACCATAGCTCACTGCAGCCTCAAATTCCTGAGCTCAAATGATCCTCCCACCTTAGCCTCCTGAGCAGCTAGGA
The DNA here is from genome assembly GCF_000001405.40 of Homo sapiens. NCBI lineage: Eukaryota > Metazoa > Chordata > Mammalia > Primates > Hominidae > Homo > Homo sapiens. The sequence goes on from NC_000004.12 coordinate 155,636,864, forward strand.
CTATAGGCATGAACCACTATGCCAGGCTAATTTTTAAATTATTTGTAGAGATGGAGACTCCACATGTTGCCCAGGCTGGTCACAAATCCCTGGCCTCGACTGATCCTCCCATCTCGGCTTCCTAAACTGGGATTACACATGTGAGCCACTGTACCCAGCTCAGGCTCTCCTTAACTGTGACAGACTACCTTTGTTTTTGCTAACCTTAACAGCCTTGCAGAGTATTGGTGTTTTTTTGTTGTGGTTGTTTTTGTTTGTTTGTTTGTTTGTTTGAGATGGAGTCTCACTCTGTTGCCAGGCTGGAGTGCAGTGGCGTGATCTTGGCTCACTGCAATCTCTGCCTCCTGGGTTCCAACAATTCCCCTGCCTCAGCCTCCTGAGTAGCTGGGACTACAGGTGCGCACCACCATGCCTGGCTAATTTTTTGTATTTTAGTAGAGACGGGGTTTCACCATATTGGCCAGGATGATCTCGATCTCCTGGCTTCGTGATTCACTGGCCTTGGCATCCCAAAGTACTGGGATTACAGGTGTGAGCCACCATGCCCAGTCATTGGTCACATATTTCAAGGACTGTCTCTCTGCTTGTATTTCCTCATCGATAGACAGAAGTTGCCAGTTTTGGGGAGGAAGGCCACAGAGGGACAGTGCCATCCTCATGGCACCAACAATATATATTGCCAGCACAACTTATCACGGCTGATGTTGTCCTTGACCATCTGGCTGAAGTACTGTTTGTCAGGTGTCTCCACTGTACAGTTACTAACTTCCCCCTCTTTCCAGATGGAATTCTTTGAAAGGGAGTCATTACACAGCCCACACTTAAGGAGTGGAGAGTTACATTCCAGCTCCTTCAGGGTATGGTATCTACATCAATTATTTGGAATTCTTCAATATTGGACATTCATCTATTCTCACCCACTTACTTATTATTCGATCAATTATTTATATTAGTATAGACTCATGGATATTTATTTTATGCTTTGGGTTATAATACAATACTGCATTTTTTAATCTTATTGCTCAAAAAAAGCCCATTCAGATGGCTCCTTTGTCCCATGAACATAGGTCAAGTGTTTGTTTGCTTGTCTTTAAAGCATTTTCTTACTTTCTGGTAGAATAAGATGCTCCGGTCTCATCTTGTATATTCCCTGCCCCAGCCCTGGAATAGCCATTTCTGCATGGAGCTCTGCTTTATTTTGTTAGAGAGTAGAATTAGAAACTCAGATTTGGGAACTAGATGATGACTGCTTTTTAAAACAACTAGTTCAAATTTCAGACTTATTAAATTTATTTTTATGGTGGAGTCAACAACATTGTGTAGATGTTTCCTTAACATCGATATAATATTATGCTTTCTTAATGTGCATTTAGTCTTGATTTTATATGCAATAAATAATAATAGGTAGTGCATTAATTTGATTTTTGTGCATGTTTCATTTGTACAGAGACAAGGTCTAGCTCTGTAGCCCAGGCTGGAGTACAGTGGCACAATCATAGCTCTCTGTAGCCGTGAACTCCTAGAATCAAACGACCCCCCTACCTCAGACTTCTGAGAAGCTGGTATTACAGGTGCAAGACTGTGCCTGGCTGGTAAATTTATCTGTGAAGTTATTGTTGACATGCTCCTTTATTGTGCCTACTTCAGTGATATCCTTCATTTCTGAATCTCAAATAAAGAACTCAAAATAGACGTGTTAGTTCTTTTCCAATGCGCCCTCTAGTCTATAGTTTCAAATACTCAAAGGCAAAATTTCTGAAGCAAAATTTCTTGCTTTTTAAGAATGACTTAAGTGTTAAACACTTTTTTTCAAGTGTGTACATCTACTTTTTCATTTTTGCTGTTCTTTTGATATATCTAACTTGGCAGTTATAGAAAATGTCATCTGAGAAAGAAAAGATCTCTGAACCACTGGCCCCTCTAATGTGGAGCAAAGGAAATTTCTGTTATAAACAGAGGAAGTCAGATGTTTCCTTTTCTCTAACTTCTAAGAAAATTATTATTGCTAACATCTACTCCCACCTAGGAATAAAAGTAATTTAATTCAAATCAAAGAAAATTCCTCATCACAGAAATGTATTTGGTTTATCTAGACAAACAGATGATAAACAACGTTCTCATCAACTTGATGGGGATAACTGCTGTTTGTACATGACATAGGTAAGTATACTTTAATCATTGTGCAGTCTATATTATTTACTTCTGATACAAGGACATGGCTGTATTTTGGAACATATTTGAATCTTGCAATAACTGGACAGTGAGTCTTTATAAATGACCATAAGGTACTAAAGGCAAACACTTGCACAGGGCTTTATAACTATAGGTGCTTGAGTTTTCTCAGAGTTTATTGTCCAAATCCAGCACGTTTGAGAAATATTTTCAAATGATACCGATTTTCAAAAACATTTAAAAAAAATTAAAAGTAGGCCGGGCACGGTGGCTCACACCTGTAATCCCAACACTTTGGGAGGCCCAGGTGGGCAGATCTCATGAGGTCAGGAGTTTGAGACCAGCCTGGCTAACACAGTGAAACCCCGTCTCTACTAAAAACAATACAAAAATTAGCTGGGCATGGTGGCAGGTGCCTGTAATCCCAGCTACTCCAGCTGAGGCAGGAGAATCGCTTGCACCTGGGAGGTGGAGGTTGCAGTGAGCCGAGATCACGCCACTGCACTCCAGCCTGGGTGACAGAGCAAGACTGCATCTCAAAAAAAAAAAAAAAAAAAAAAAAAAAAAAAATTAAAAGTAGCAAAGCTATATACATTAAAGACAAATTAAAAGCTATATACATTAAAGACAAATTATATTTTAATATTGTTATTAACTGTTTTGAGTATAACATAAATAGGACTTCCACTTTCAGATTTGGTGTGTAAAAAGCTTGGAAGCTGTCACTTCTGCCTTTACAAGAAGAAAAAGCTGACAAAGTGAAAAACAACTACTTTTTTTAGACCCAGCAGAAAGCTGAAGTGGTGTGGCAAACCACAACAAGAAAATCTGAGAATCTAGAGGATCACAGATAAGCAGCAGCCAGTGGAAACACAAACTTGTAGAAATATTTAAGTGGCAATTTTGATGAATTTGTAGACACTGTGTGTGGCCTAGGGTGACAATGAGGAACTTTTGGGAGCCACAATCTTGGAAGAGTTTTCACACTTCTGTATGAAACTAACCAGGAAACTAACCAGGCTCTCACTGTGAATATTTAAGAAAAATCCCCTCTGGACTCTGGTAGGAAAAGTGACAGAGAAGTTATTGTGAAATAGTCACAGTGCCTTCTCCATAAAAATGGCCTAGTCTATAGAGAAAAGGATTCACCTTTTTAAGTGAAGGCTTTCCTCCAACTCTAGCCTTCCTGCTTCACATTGGGCCGGGAAAAAACAAAACAAAACAAAACGAAAAACCATGCCACTGAAGAAACAATTGTGAAAGTCACAGCCCTGAGTCACAGATCCACTCAAAGACTGAAATTTAATTGTGAGAGTATAGAACTCATTCCATCTCCCACACCTTACCTCCACACCAATAGGGTTTCTGTATAATATTAGTGGATTGTTGCTGAAATTGCTGCAAGAAACAGGCGCTCTCTGAGGAGGAGTGGTTAGGAAGCTCAGAGTCAAGAGAGGGGATAAATACAAGAACAATAAAGGATTTGAAGCCTCTGGCACCTAAAGCTAAAGCACATGTCAATCACAGTTCAATACCAACCCTAACGCAAATCCACAAACTAAATGGCCATTTTCCTCAGTTCCTACTACAAAATACAACACATCTAGCTTTCACCAAAAATTACAAAGCATACCAGAAAAAGGAAATAACCAAGCAAACAATGAAAAACACAATCTGAAGAAACAAAGCAAGCATCAGAAGCAGACTCAGATGTCAAACAAATGCCGGACTCATCAGATCAGGAATTTAAAACAGCCACAATTAATATGTTAAGATCTCTAATGAAAAAAATTGACAACATGCAATAACAGATGAGTAATGTAAGCAGAGAAATGAAAGATCTAAGAATCAAAAGAAAATGGTAAAAGTCAAAAAGATGTTAACAGAATAAAGAATGCCTTTGATTGACTCATCAGTAGAATCGGGCCTTGCCAAAGAATTAGGGAGATTGAAGATAGAACAATAGAATCTGTCCAAACTGAGATTTAAAGAGAAAAAAGATTGAAAAAAAAAAAAAAACCAGAATAGAACATTTAAAAACCATGAGTCAATTTCAAACTATCTAAAACACATGTAATTGGAACAAAAGAAGGAGAAGAAATAGAATGGAGCAGAAGAAATATCTGAAGTAATAATGATCAAGAACTTTCCAAGGTTAATGACACACTTCAAACCACAGATCCAGAAAGGTTAGAGAACACCAAGAAAATAAATATCAAGGCTGGGTGCAGTGGCTCACGCCTGTAATCCCAGCACTTTGGGAGGCCAAGGCGGGCAGATCACGAGGTCAGAAGATGGAGACCATCCTGGCTAACAGGGTGAAACCCCATCTCTACTGAAAATACACAAAATTAACAGGCTGTGGTGGTGGGAGCCTGTAGTCCTAGCTACCTGGGAGGCTGAGGCAGGAGAATGGTGCAAACCCGGGAGGCAGAGCTTGCAGTGAGCCGAGATCGCCCCACTGCACTCCAGCCTAGGTGACAGAGCGAGGCTCCATCTCAAAAAAATAAAAAATTTAAAAAAATTAAGAAAATTTACACCTAAGTATATAATATTTAAGCTGCAAAAATATAAAGACAAAGAAAAATCTTGAAAGAACCTAAGGGAAGTGAGTGAACAATATCTATAGAAGAATAACGATAAAAATTAGAGTGGACTTCCGATCAGAAACTATGCAAGAAGGCCAGGTGTGGTGTCTCATGCTTGTAATCTCAGCATTTTGGGATGCCAAGGCAGGCAGATCACTTGAGGTCAGGAGTTCAAGACCAGCCTGGCCAACATGGTGAAACCCTGTCTCTACTAAAAATACAAAAAAATTAGCTGAGCATGGTGGCAAGCGCATGTAATCCCAGCTACTCAGGAGGCTGAGGCAGGTGACTCACCTGAATCTGGGAGTGGGAGGCTGCAGTGGGCCGAGATCGTGCCACTGTACTCCAGCCTGGGCAACAGAGTGAGACTTTGACTCAAAAAAAAAAAAAAAAAAGAAAGAAAGAAAGAAAGAAAGAAAGAAACTATGCAAGAAGAGGGTATCATGAAGTGTTGAAAGAAAAAACCTGCCAGTCTGGAATTATATATTTAAAAAATTTAACCTTCACAAATGAAAGAGAAATGAAGACTTTCTTAGACAAACGAAAACCAAAAGGATTCATTGCCATCAGAACTATCCTGTAAGACATGTAAGAAGTTATTCAGGGAGAGAGAAAGTGATGCAAGTCAGAATTTGGATCTACATAAATAAAGGACAGGTTGGAGAAAAAATTTAGAAAGTTTTTTTTCTCTTTTTCTTAAAATAATTGAGCTAAAAGATTAACTATTTAAAGTAACATTCTATCAATGCAATGAGTAATTATGGAATATGCATCAATGACAAGAATGACATTGATGTCATAGGGATAGGAGGGAAGAATTGGGAATATTCTGTTATATGGCACCTACACTAACATGAAGTGGTAAAGTGTTACTTAAAGGTAAACCCAAATTAGTTAAAAATGTATGTTGGAAACTCAAGAGCAACTACTAACACATTTTTAAAAGAAATATGATATACCAAGATAGGAGGAAAAATGGAATCATGTAAAATGCTCATTAAAACCAGAAAAGGCAGAAAAGAGGAGGAAAAGACAGAATAAAAAAATGTAATGAACAGAAAACAATGAAAACATGGTGGATATTAATTCCAACTACAGTCATACCTTGTTTTATTGCGCTTCACTTTGTTGCTCTTCACAGAAAATACATTTTTTAAGAATTGAAGGTTTGAGGCAATTCTGGGTCTAGCAAGTCTGTTGGCAGCATTTGTCCAACAGCATGTGCTCACCTTGAATCTGTGTGTCACATTTTGGTAACTCTCAAAATTTTTTAAACTTTTTCATTTTTATTATATCTGCTATCATGATCTGTTATCAGTCATCTTTCGTATTACTGCTGTAATTGTTCTGGAGCATTATTAACTGTGCCCATGTGAGACAATGAACTTAATTGCATAAATGTTGTGTGTGTTCTGATTGCTCCTTGACTGACTGTCCCCCCAACCCCACATCTCTCTCATTCTCCTCAGGCCTCCCTATTCCCTGAAACACAACAATATCGCAGTTAGGCCAATTCATAACCCTACAATACTCTACAAGTTTTGAAGTTAAAGGAAGAGTCACACATGTCTCACAAATGATTAGAAATTATTATGCTTAGTCAGGAAAGGACATCAAAAGCTGAGAGAGGCCATAGCTAGGTCTCTTGAATCAAACAGCCAAGCTGTGTACACAAGAAAGTGTTCTTGAAGGAAATTAAAAATGCTACTTCAGTTAACACCTGAATGACAAGAAAGCAAGACAGTCTTATTACTGATATGAAGAAAGTTCAAGTGGTCTGGATAGAAGATAAAACCAGCCACAACATTCCCTTAAACCAAAGGCTAATCCAGAGCAAGACCCTAACAATTCTGCAATTCCCTGAAGGCTGAGAGAGGTGAGAAAGCTGCAGAAGAAAAGTTGGAAGCTGGAATAGGTTGGTTCAAAAGGTTTAAGGCAAGAAGCTGTCTCCATAACATAAAAATGCAAGGTGAAGCAGCAAGTGCTGCAACCAATGTGCAGAAGATGTAGCAAAAATAATTGATGAAGGTGGCTACACTAAACAGATTTTCAGTGGGGACAAAATAGCCCTATTTTGGGAGAACATGCCATCTAGGATTTTCAGATCTGGAGAGGAGAAGTCATTGCCTGGCTTCAAAGCTTCAAAGAACAGGCTGACTCTCTTATTAGGGGCTAATGCAGCTGGTGACTTTAGATTGAATCCAAAGCTCATTTACTAATCTGAAAATCCAGGGTCCTTTAATAATTATGCTGAATCTACTGTGCCTGTGCTCTATAAATGGAACAACAAAGCCTGAATGACAAGGCATCTGTCTATAGCATGGTTTGTTGAATATTTTAAGCCCACCATTGAGAACTGCTCAGAAACAAAGATTCTTTCGAAAATATTACTGCTCATTGACAACGCACCTGGTCACCCAAGAGCTGTGATAAAGATGTACAAGGAGATTAATGTTGTTTTCATGGCTGCTAATACAACATCCATTCTGCAGCCCATGGATCAAGGAGTAATTTTGACTTTCGGTTCTTATTATTTAACAAATACATTTTATAATGCTATAGCTGCCATAGACAGTGATTTCTCTACTGAACCTGGGTATAGTAAATTGAAAACCTTCCGGATAGGATTTACCATTCTAGATGCCATTAAGAACATTTGTGATTCATGGGAGAAAGTGAAAATACTAACTTTAACAGGAATTTGGAACATGTTGATTTCAGCCTTTATCATGATTTTGAGGGGTTCAAGACTTCAGTGAAGGAAGTAACTGCAGCTGTGGTGAAAATAACAAGAAAACTAGAAGTGGAGCTTGAAGATGTGACTGAATTTGTGCAATCTCATGATAAAACTTGAACAGATGAGGAATTCCTTCTTAGGAAGGAACAAAGAAAGTGAAGTGGTTGGTTAAGATGGAATCATCTCCTGGTGATGCTGCTGTGAACATTGTTGAAATGACAACAAAGGATTTAGAGTATTACATAAACCTAGTTGATTGATAAAGTGATGGCAGGGTTTGAGTGGATTGAGTCCAGTTTTGAAAGAAATTTTACTATGGATAAGATGCTATCAAATAGCATTACATGCTGCAGAGAAATCTTTCATAAAAGGAAGAGTTGACTAATGAGGAAAACTTCATTGTACTCTTATTTTAAGAAATTGCTGGCCGGGTGCAGTGGCTCACACCTGTAATCCCAGCACTTTGGGAGGCCTAGGCAGGTGGATCACAAGGTCAGGAGATCAAGACCATCCTGGCCAACATGGTGAAACCCCATTTCTACTAAAAACACAAAAATTATCCGGGCGTGGTGGCATGCACCTGTAGTCCTAGCTACTCAGGAGGCTGAGGCAGGAGAATCACTTAAACCCAGGAGGCAGAGACTGCAGTGAGCCGAGATCATGCCACTGTACTCAGCCTGGTGACAGAGCATGACTGTCTCAAAGGAAAAAAAAAAAAAAAAAAAGAAGAAGAAATTGCCATTGACCACCCAAACTTTCAGCAATCACCACCCTTATCAGTCAGCAGCCATCAACCTTGAGGCAATCCCTCCACTAGCAAAAAGATAATGACTCCAGAAGGCTCAGATGAGTGTTAGTATTTTGTAACAAATTATTTTTAATTAAGGTATGTACATTTTTTAGACATAATGCTATTGCAAACTTAATAGACTACTATATAACATAAACATTGATATGCACTAGGAAATAAAAAACTTGTGTGGGTCTCTTTATTGCAATATTTAGTTTTTGTGATGGTCTGGAACTAAACCTGCAATATCACCAAAGTATCTGTATATCAAGAAACACCTTAAATGTGAATTATATAAATATACTAATTAAATACAGTGATTGTCAGAGTAAATGTTTTTAAAAACCCAACTATGTTGTCTATAAGAAACCCACTTTAAATATAAAGACAAATACAGGTTAAACATTAAGTGATAGAGGAAGATATACCATGTTAACACTAGTCAAAGAAAGCTGTAACTGCTATATTAATTTCATATAAGGCAGACTTCAGTATGGGGAAATTATCAGAGATACAGTGGCCTTAGATCATGTTAGAAGGGTCAATTCTTCATGAAGGTGGAACAATCCTAAAGTTGAATGTACAGAAGACAGCATCAAAATATATAAGGCAAAATATGACAGAACTGAAAGGAAAAATAGACAACAGATTGTTGAAGACTTCAACATCTTTATTTTGGTAATTAACAGATTAAGGAAGCAGAACATCAATAAGGATATGGTTAACCCTAAATAGATTAACCCCATTAATTAGATTAATTTAATCGTATTGACATTTATAAAAGAATCTATTCAAAAATAACAAGTATACACTCTTTGTAAGGCTCTGTAGACCATACAACCAAAATAAAACACATTCTTGGCCACAAAACACACACTAAAAGGTTTAAAAGAATATAAATAATAGAGCAGATGCTCCTAGACAAAAATAAAATTAAACTAGAAACTAATAACAGAAAGGTCGCTGGAAATTCCCCCAAATATTTGGAAATTAAACAATACATTTCCAAATATGATGAGTCGTGTAAGTCTCAAATGAAATTTAAAAATATTTTTAACTAAATGAAAATGAAAGCTAACTTACCAAAATTTGTTTAGTCTGTGGAATACTACTTAGTCATAAAATGAAATGAAATAATGGCTGTTGCAGCAACCTGGATGGAGTTGGAGGCCTTTATTCTAAGTGAAATAACTCAGGAATGGAAAACCAAATATTGTATGTTCTCACTTGTAAGTGGGAGCTAAGCTATGAGGACGCAAAGGCATAAGAATGTTATAAGGGATTTGGGAGAGAAGTAGGAGATAAAAAAAACTACATATTGGATACAGTGTATACCCCGTGGGTGATGGGTGCACCAAAATCTCAGAAATCACCACGAAATAACTTATTCATATAACCAAAAATGACATGTTCTCCAAAAACTATCGAAAATTTTTTAAAAAATGTGTAGTAAGGTGAAAGCATGCTTAGACAGAAATTTATACCATTAAATTCATATATTTAGATAAGAAAAATGATTTAAAATAAATAATCTAAGCTTCTATATTAGGAAGCTGAAGAAAGAAGGGAAATTTAAGCCTAGATCAAGAAGAAATGGAATAATAAAAATTAGTGGCGATATTAATAAACTGATGAAACATTAAAGTCGATAAAACCAAAAGCTGATCTTTAAAAAGACAAAGTTGAAAATCTCCCTAACCAGTCTAATGAAGACAAAAACATTGAAGACACAAATTACTAATATCAGAAATAAAAGAAGGTTTATAGTTACTGATCTTGTGGACATTAAAAGTAATAATGGAATATTATGAATAACTCTATGCCCAAAGTATGGATATACTTAAATAAAATGGGCCAGTTTCATCTAACATATAACTTAGATGAGGTGGATAGATTCCTGGAAGGACAAATTACCAAAATTTCACACAAGGAAGGATAAATACATAACATGATGGGCCTTTATCTATTAAATAAGTTTAATAAATAATTGATAACCTTCAAAAAAGAAATTACCATGCCTAGATGGCTAATTCCATCAAACATTTAAGAAATAAATGATAACAATTCTCTACAAACTCTTTCAGATAATAGAAGCAGAAGGGGTACCTCCTAACTCATTCTATGAGGCCAGTACCACCCTAATACCAAAACCAGATAAAGACACTTTAAGGCAGGCGTGGTGGCTCATGCCTGTAATCCGGGCATTTTGGGAGGCCAAAGCGGGTAGATCACCTGAGGTCAGGAGTTCGAGACCAGCCTGGCCAACATGATGAAACCCCATCTGTACTAAAAATACAAAAAATTAGCTGGGTATGGTGGAACCTGTTATCCCAGCTACTCAGGAGGCTGAGGCAGGAGAATCATTTGAACCCAGAAGGCGGAGGTTGCAGTGAGCTGAGGTCACGCCATTACACTCCAGCCAGGGCAACAAGAGTGAAACTCAGTCTCAAAAAAATAAGACACTTCAAGAAGGGAAAACTATAGACCAAAGTGTATAGGATACAAACAGGATATTCTGTATAGGATTTTAGAAAAGAAACAAATATTACATTAAAACAAAGAATATGAATAAACTATGGAATTTAGTTAAAATAATTTATCAATAGCAATTCATTGATTTGTACCAAATATACTATATGTAAAATGTTAATAATAGGGAAAGCTGTGTGTACGGTATATGGGAACTCTTTATACTAATTTCTGATTTTTTCTGTAAATATATAACTGTTTTTTAAGATAAAGTATTTTTAAAAATAATCTTGACACTGGAAAAAAATGAATGAACAAAATGAAAAGATGAGTCTCAGACTGGGAGAAAATACTTACAGATGATATATCTGACAGTACTACTTGCTGGTGAGGATGCAGAGCAACAGAAACTCTTTTTTATTGCTGATTGCAATTCAAAATGTTACATCCACTTTGGAAAACAGTTGGCAGTTTCTTACAAAAATAAACATAATCTTTCTATGCCATCCTGTAATTGCATTCCTATGTACTCAACCAACTGAATTGAAAATTTAGGTTCACATAAAAACTGCATGTGAACATTTGTAGATACTTTATTCATAATCACCAAAAACTGGAAGCAACCAAAATGTTCTTTTAGAAGTTAATGGATAAACAAACTGTGGTCCATCCTGAATACTATGGAACATTATTCAGCAATAACAAGACATGAGCTATCAAACAAACAAATAAAAAACACATAGCTGAATCTTAAACACAAATTGCTAAATGAAACAAATCAGTCTGTATCAAGCTACATACCGCGTGGGTTCAATTATATGGCATTGTGGGAAAGGCAAAACTACAGAAACAGTAAAAACATCAATTGCTTCTGGGGGAAGGTTGCATAGGTGAAACACAGGGGACTTTCAGAGCTGGTTATATGATAGTGTAATAGAGAATGCATGGCAACACGCATTTTCACTAAGAATTTTACAGCACAGAGAGGGAACCTTAATGTATGCAAATTAACATAAAATTATTTATGAGGGTGAGGGATCCCAGAATGGAATGCACAAAATGACACAATAATCTAACTGTATCACAAATGTATGAAAAGGCTTCACTGAATGAGGTCGGGAAAACAGGTGTTGACCTAAGTAACTCTGCCTGGAAATGAGTAGACTGTAAGACTAGGCAAAAGAAACTACATAAACACTGTACTTTAGTTGATAAAGCTTTTTTTTTTTTTATGGGGATACAGATTACTAATACTGCAATTGAGCAATAAAGCAAATGAATGGCAGTTTGTTCCTGCCATTTTTCTCTCTTATTGGTTACAATAAGCAAAGGAAAGGGGCTAGAATAATCCATGTGGTAACGGATTAGAATCAGAGACAGCACTAGGAACTCATGTTTAACTGAATATAGATACAGATGACTAACTATGGAATTATTAATAGATACAGGTATATACAGTGGTTAGTAAGCACACATATATTTCCTTGTTGTGTCAGCTGAGGGGCCTAAAAGCAACAAACAAACCTAGTAGCAACAAACAAAACTAGTGCCCAGATTTTGGATCCTAATATCATTCCTCAATAAAGAGCAACCAAGGCTCCTTGGAGATGCTTGAATCTAGGACTGCAGCAGAAAATATACAACATTACAACATTAGCTTGTAGCAGCTTCTACTGTCAATAAGTAAGGAAGTACTCACAAAACATTATAACAAATGTATGGTCAAGGGACAAAGCTGGAAAATTTTGAGCAACAGAATAAATAGAGTAGTATCGGATTATACCCAAAATATAAAATACATATGGATGAGTCCATGCTGATATAAATAATAGATCGAATAAGTGAATAAATGGAGGAGGAAAAAGCAAATTTTCCTACAGTATTTCAAATAATTGATGTAGATACTCCAGCCTCAAAGAAGTGCAGCTTATTTCCTCAGTCTTTAAGTGTGGCTGCACATAGTGACATCATCTCAAACTAGAAAGTATGGAAAGGGGGAGAAGAGTAAATTTTCAGTGGAGAAACCGGACCAACGCTACCTCAATCAGGTGATCAAGGTTAAGATCAACAGGATGTACCCTTGATATGATGTCATGACAATGGCACTTTACCTCTGAGATTCTTTCCAGAAACACGTAACCCTCAATCTAATCATGAGTAACGTATCAGACAAATGAAAACGAGGACCATTCTACAAAATACCTGCCCAGTAATTTTTGAAGCTTTCAAAGTCATTAAAAAAGGGAAAGTCTGAAAAACTGTCAAACCCAAAACAAACTTAAAGAGACATGACTAAATTTAATGCAGTATCCTGGAACAGGAAAAGAAAACAGACAGTTAAAAGCTAAGGAAATGGCCTGGCACGGTGGCTCACGCCTGCAATCCCAGCACTTTGGGAGGCCCAGGCGGGCAGATCACGAGGTCAGGAGATCGAGACCCTCCTGGCCAACATGGTGAAACCCTGTCTCTACTGAAAATACAAAAATTAGCTAGGCATGGTGGCGTGTGCCTGTAATCCCAGCTACTTGGGAGGCTGAGGTAGGAGAATCCCTTGAACCTGGGAGGCGGAGGTTGCAGTGAGCCGAGATCGCGCCACTGTGCTCCAGCCTGGTGACAGACTGAGACTCCAGTTAAAAATAAAAAAAAAAAAACCTAAGACAATCCTAATAACATATAAGCTTTAATGTGTCAACATTGGTTCATTAATTATATCAAATATACAATATTGATGTCAGATGTAAATAATAGGAGAAATTTGGTGTGGAGTACATCAGAACTCTGTACTATCTTTGCTAGTTTTCTGTAAAACCTAAACCTGTTCTAAAATAAAAAGTTGATTTAAAAATAGCATAAGTAACATGTAATATAAATGTAACTGGTATAGTTTCACCAGCTTCAGTCAATTTCTTATCTATTTTGGCTTCTATTATGTAACTGGATGCTTTTTAAAGAATTTGCCTTTATAATACATTATTCTTACATTTAATTATTTATGAAATTACCTACAAACTACCTCAAAATATCAATTTATGGTCTGGGCACATGTCTTTACCAGCTAGTGCCTTCATAGCTTCCTTGAAAGAAAGATATCAATCATTTTGCATCTGAAAACAGATAAATTGCCTTTCAGATTTATCTACATGTTAAAATAATTTTTTTTTTTTTTTTTGGCAATAGGACACATGTATTAGTCTGTTCTCACACTGTTAATAAAGACATACCCAAGACTGGTTAATTTATAAAGGAAAGAGGTTTAATTGACTCACAGTTCCACATGGCTGAGGAGGCCTCACAATCATTGTGGAAGAGCAAGGGATGTCTTACATGTTGGCAGGCAAGACAGAACTTATGCAGGGGAACTCCCCTTTATAAAACCATCAGATCTCGTAAGACTTATTCATTACCACAAGAACAGCACGGGAAAGACCTGCCCACATGATTCAATTACCTTTCAGCAGGTCCCTCCCTCCCATGACACATGGGAATTGTGGGAGCTACAATTCAAGATGAGATTTGGGTGGGGACACGGGTAAGCTATATCAATACACATCACTGTCACGAAGCATAGCAGAAGCTGTAAACACAAAGTGGAGGTCTGGCACATTATAATGATTTGTGATCATTATAATGCAACTACTACTAATAACACTGTATTTCAAAATATTAAAAAATCTCAACAAAGGCTAATCCAGATGTGACAACCGAACAACAGGCATAAATAAAAATGATCACATGTAAAGTGTGACATTCCTGGGTAAACCAGAACAGTTATGCATCATTTAACAATAGGGATATGTTCTGAGGAATGCATTCTTAGTCAATTTTATGATCATGCAAACATCATAGAATGTACTTAGACAAATCTAGATGGTATAGATTACCACATACCTAGGCTAGATGGGATAGCCCATTTTTTCCCAGGCTACAAACATGTACAGCATGTTACTCTACTGAATACTATGGGCAACTGTAACACAACAGTAAGGATTTGTATACTTAAACATATAGAAACACATCTAAACATAGAAAAGGTACAGTAAAAATATGTAAAAGATAAAAACTGGTACCATGAATCGAGGTATATTGCAGGCCAGGAAGGTGCTCTGGGAGAGTTGGCGAGTGAGTAGTGAGTGAATGTGAAGGCCTAGGACATGACTATGCTACTGTAGACTTTACAAACACTGTATGCTTAGGCCACACTAAATTTATTTAAATTTTTTTCTTTCTTCATTAACACATTAATCTTAGCTTACCGTAACTTTTTAGTTTATAAACTTCTTATTAAAACATTTTTACTTCAAGTTTGAAGGTCTGAGAGTGAGGGGTTGGGTTGGGGTGGTGGGCAGGTAATGGTATAAGTCCCAGTCTAAGTGTAAAAGCCCAAGGAGTTCTGATATCTCAGGGCAGAAGATGGATGTCCCAGCTCAAGGAGAGAGAGAGAATTCGCCCCTCCATCACAGAGTGTGCCCACTCTCACACTGATGAGAGCAACCTTCTTTACTCAGTCTACCAATCCAAATGCTAATCTCTTCCAGAAACACCCTCACAGCCACACCCAGAAATAATATTTTACCAGCAATATGGGCATCTTTTGCCAAGTCAAGTTGACACAAAAAAATTAACCATCACGTCATTGTCTATTTGCAGTTGATGAATTTCTTTAAAATCGTGATATTCTAACCATACGATTAGATTTCCGGAGAAGAGATTGAACATTTTAATAAAATGGCAAATTAGGTTCAGAGAAAAGGAAAATATAAAGAATATGTTTGATTTTCATGTTCTGTATATAGCACAAAATGAAAGGATAACATTATGAGACCATAAATGTTGCAAATGACATAATGGTTAACGTGTCTATGACAAAACAGCCTGGGGAACATTCACCAAAAACTCATGCAACGTGGAATTTACATAGAAACTGTTCAGTTATTGACAAATATAGTATAGTGTGTTGAATTGTGGCTCCCCAAAAATATTTCCACCAGGAACATCAGAATGTGACCTTATTTGGAATAAGGATATTTGCATATATCATTAAGGTAAGGATCTGGAGATGAAATCATCCTGGATTAAGGTGGCCCCTAAATTTAACAATGAGAGTTTATGAGAAACTTAAACAGAGAAGCTATGGAGACATAGAGGGAAGGTCATGTGAAGATGGAGACAGGGACTAGAGTGGGGCAACTCTAAGCCAGTGAATACCAAGCATTGCCAGCAGCATCGGAAGCTCGGAGGGAGGCTCAGAAAGGATTCTCCCTCAGAGTCTCCAGCGGGAATCAAACCTGGAGATACCTTGATTTCAGAATACTGGGCTTCTGAACTGTGAAAGAAGAAATTTCTGTTCTTTAAAGCCACCAAGTGCACGGTAATTTGTTACAGTGGCCCTAAGAAACTAATACAAATAATGATTTTCATGGAATGGTTTATAGATTTAAGATTCTCTAGCAGCTATCCTAAGGTGGAATGGAATATGAGTGAAGTCACATAGTCATTAAGAAAAGACCTACATTTATCTTGCTGTCTTTAAATATCCAAAACAAGAGGCTGTTCTAATGGAGATTTTCAGTTATCTTAAGGCTAATACTCACTTGATTAAATTAAGTTGACTAAGATGAATGCTGGGGATCTGAATAACTCAATTTTGCTATCTGTACAGCCTAAGCATTTGTATAATTGTGATATCTCCCTTTTTGTGTTGTGATGAGTAAACTTGGCCTCTTCAAATGGTGAGATTCATGCCCTATGACCTAAACAAGTTACAGCTTTCTGATAATTGCTTTATTACCAGTAAAATAAGCATTTATGCAAACTTTCCATACTAGTGATAGGCATTTATATAGGTATTTATTTTCACTATCAATTTCTGACTACAGAAGTGGGAAATGTGCAGAAAACCTGAAATTAGATAGAGAACACTTGAAAAATGAGTTAGAGCTTTTCCTAAAATTACAGAAAGCATTCTTTCTTTCCTTACAGCAATTAAAAAGTAAGTAGATGAATTCCAAAGGTTTATATGACTAGTCAATCTACTAGGAAATTTAAATAATCCTTAAGAGACTTCAAATGTAAGAAGGTACAATGATTTAGAAGAATTTATTTCACTTACTTATGTAATAAAACCAAGGTTAAAGTTAGCAAGATCTAAAAATAAAGTTTATACTGAAAGACTCAAAATTTAGATTAAGTTATAAATCCTATTTTAATTAATATTTTATCAACTCGTTATAGTTGCCCTTGTTCTTTTACCAAAGTATAACATTTTTAAAGAAATGAAAAATTTAGAATATGCTTCTTCTTGAATTAATGTTCCTAATAGTCACTGTTGCTTGAACTGCTCTTCCCCTCTGAAAGAGATGTGTTAAAAAAAAAGTGTACAAAGTCTGTGTATTTATTCTGTATAGTTGAAAGAATGTCTATTGGAAGAATTGTCTACCTGTGAAAAGATTGAATGATAAGACAAGTTTTACCCTATAAATCCTTTTTTCTTTTTTTATTTACTCATCTTAACTCCAAAAATAAAACAAACATTATTTGCAGAAGGAAAGCAGATAGCTAATGAGATAAAAATGTTCCCTCCGCTTCAGTGTGGTTAAAGTAGGTAATATCATCAGATAGCTCATTAAAAGTGCCTGGACATTGGCCATTTACTTTCCATGGCCTGTAGGCTCTAAATATTGTTCTGTAAAAGGGATACAAGTAAGATTGGAAGTCCAATACAAGTAAGATTGGAAGTAAGTCTGTTCTTACATGTTTCATCTCTGACTTACATGACAAACTTCAAGGATAGCAGATATGAAATATTTGGGGCTTCTTAATAGTATTTGTTGAATTATCAAAATGCACAAAACTACAATTAAAGTTTATTGATACAGTCATGTTTTCTTATAAGCTTTTTCCTTGTCTTCTTGGTTCCCTTTATTCTAATACCTAACTTAATTATGTGTGGATTTTAAGAAGTTCTTAATTTTTGTGTTTACGTTCATTGTTGGTATTGTTTGACAGGTTACTATTACAGTAAGAATTTTACTCTTTTCCTCCTAAAACACATCATGAGACTTTAAAAAGAATCGGAATCAAGCGAAAAACATCTGATTTTCTGAAATTTGAAGATACCAATCTTAGAAAACTTTAGTAAATACAATCATACCCTCATACCCTATTCTCTAGTCACCAAATCACTCCTCACCCTTCCCTTCCACACATTCAACAAATCTTAACATTAGAAACTCCTAATCTGCATCAGTCACTATGCTGGCACTCTGTATGACTTCACACATTTAGCCTCTCTGAGCTTCAATTTCCTAATCTGTAAAATTGGACTATTTATACTTCTATTTGGAAAATTACTAGACAGCACAGAATTCTCAATTGAAACATCAACTCTTCAAAATTATTCATGGCCCTTTATGAGTTCCCAAAGCACCCTCTGAGCATTTCTATATCATTTGTATCATTGTGCTGCAATTATTTTTCAAATTTCCTGTCCACCTCCAGACTGTGAAGTCCTGGGGAACCACGATTAGATCACAGTTTTAAAAAATCCCCAGTGGGCCAGGCTCGGTGACTCATGCCTGTAATCCCAGCACTTTGGGAGGCCGAGGTGGGCAGATCACGAGGTCAGGAGATGGAGACCATCCTGGCTAACAGGGTGAAACCCCGTTTCTACTAAAAATACAAAAAATCAGCTGGGCGTGGTGGCCGGCGCCTGTAGTCCCGGCTCCTAGGGAGGCTGAGGAATGAGAATGGCATGAACCTGGGAGACGGAGGTTGCAGTGAGCGGAGATCACACCACTGTACTCCAGCCTAGGCAACAGAGCGAGACTCTGTCTCAAAAAAATAAATAAATAAAATAAATTAAAAATAAATAAATCACCAGCGGTTAGGTTAACAAAGAATAAAATATAATTGAATCAAGTGAGGAAAGACTGAATAGATAAATTAATATCCATTCATGATATCCATATCATTTATTATATTAATTCATCTCATGGAAAGGTAGAATAAATATTTAAGTGTGTGAAGTTAATGAATATACAATATATTTGATTGAATTAATATTCATACCACTCGAATTAAACTTACCTAATCGAATCATAAAGAAATTGCAATAGAACTATGTTTCCTCTCAGTGCCAACTCTACCTCTCTGTGTTATTCATTATTTAGCCTGCTTTTTTTCTAATATTATCTCTCTATGCCTCAAACTTCTGGTTAATTATCTCAAAGCTGGGGGATTCATTTACAACTTAGATGGGAAAATTTAATAATCTGTAATAAATGTATGAACTAATTGGGCAAAAACAAACTTTTGCATTATTTGTGATAATAAATGTATTTTCAAACTTTGCTGCCGTGTCAGATTGCTGTTAGCAACTCTGCATCATTCTTGCCCCTTTGTAAACTTCCTTTTTCTCTATACTTTCTTTTGCAATGCAAGTAGGGAGCATGGAAAGGACAGTTCCCAGAATCCTCCACCAACAGGGTTTAATTTGGATTCAGAATTTATGTCAGATTTAGATGAAAGAGAACAGGAGAAGCACTGTTCTCCTCTGGCAGCAGAAGACACCTGCAGGGGCAGAGGACCTTGTTGAGATCTGTATCAACCTCATGCCTGCTGCAGGCAGCTGACATCCTCAAGGGTATGTTCCTCCTGGGATCCCTACATTCCTTCCCCAGGTCTTTCAGTAGTTCTATTAGCATCCCTTTCTGTTTGAAATGCGTAAAGTGATAGGTTTTCCAAACGAAAATGAAATCGGAGACAGTGGTTGTAACGAAACTTAAATATTTCATACTTGAGAGATTTAAGAAATAACAATCTATTGGCTGCACAGCTGACATTCCCTATTCTTCCTACCTTAACCACCTCCCAACAACCATCCTTCTCTGCTCTGTTTTTCTCCATAGCACATATTACCACCTGACATCCTAATATTTTATTTGTTAATCTTTTTAATCATCTGTTTTGTCATTGTGGAATGCCACAATAATAGGGATCCTTGCTTGTTCCCCAGTTTACAGAATAGTGCCTGGTTTATGATTGTTATTCAGTAAAAGTATTTGAATGAATGAATGAATGAATCTGACAAGAGTGTATTTTGCCTCTTTTTGAATGTCAGTCTACAGATAAAAGGGGGCTCTAATTATCACATGGAAAATCAGACCGTGCATACTTTAATTTTAAATAAGTCCTTGCCTTACCTGCCTAGCCCTCCAACTGCGTTCTTTCATTGTCCTATTATGATCACCATAATGCAAATAGTCTTAACTAGTTTGAAAAGGATGTTAATCAGCCCAACGCTGAGTACTTTTTGTCCATGGCTTCTCATTAAATTCTATTGTAATCTATGGTTTCTTGTAATTTAATCAAGATGAATTCAAAGTTGAGGTTCATAATTTTGATATTTCAGGTGCATAATCTCACTATATGAGGAATGTCTTCAAATGAATTAGAAAAACACTAATACCTCAACCAAGGGCAAAGGACATCAACGGACAGTCAAAAAAATAGGGGGTTGTGGTAATAATAATGACTAAATAAACATGTAAGATATTTAAAATCACTTATGAAAGAAATACACTTTGAGATTCACTTTTAATGAAAAATATCAAACATAAATCTTAAAAATAATAGCAACCATGTAGTTCATTCTTTACACAAAACAGATAAGATTATAAATTGATTAAAATATTAAATGATCTGACTAGTGGTATTAGTCACAATTAAATAACTCATTCTCTGAAACCCAAACTCTTGGGAACATATCAAAGAAAAATGTAGGACATGTGGACTATTTACAAAGTTGTTCATCTGTTTTTAATTATGTGTTGCAAATAACTTCAGTTAGTTTGTAGCCCTTTGCTTTATTCTTTTTGAGGAAAGGAAATACTTAAAAGTTTATCACTCTATTTCTTTGTTTGTATTTGACCTAAACATGTTACATATTTGTTGTTTTTTTCCTCACTATTCTTTCTTGGCAGTTAGAACTCCTGATTGGAAATTGTTCTTTCTGTACTACATCTTTAGAAATTATTTTATAGGAGGTATGTTCGTTTTAAAATCTCAAAGATTAACTTCTTTCCATCCCCACCAACCATTTCTTCAAAGTCAATTTTCCTGAATATAAGATCCTAAGGACAGTAATTTATCTCTCAGCATTTCTCGCACTATGAAGATTGTTTTCTTCCACCTTTAATTATTTCTGTTATGCAATTAGCAAAGCTGATAGTCAGTCTAATTGTCATTCCACTGTAGGTGATCTGATTTTCTCTCTGGTTGCTTTTAAGATTTATTTATCTTTGTTTGGTCCTTTTACCAAATGTATTTGTAAGTGGATTTTTAGATATTTTAAAATGTATTTATCTTTCTTGGAAATTGTTGGGCTAAGCAGAGGATGGGTGACTGAACTAAATTCTGGAAACTCTTAACCACTATCATGTTGAATATTGCCTTGCCACTAAATTGCTATTCTCTCCTTATAGTACCTTTCAAATGTCTTAACCTATCCTTCATATTTTAATTCATCTTTTTGTCTAAATTCAGTATTATTTCTTTATATATATTTTCCAGTTCATTAATTTTCTCTTCAGTTTTATCTAATCTATTTAATACATTCATGAAACTTTATTTCTAATTATTGTGTTTTTAATTTCTGGGAGTTCTTTTTGGTTTTAGTTTCAAACTGGTCAAGTCATTTATTTGGTTTCTTTGTTATGCTACAAATACATTTTATTTAAATATATATATTAAACATATATTCTGTTTTGAATAATTTCTGCTTTTATAGTCCTTGTTGGTCTGATTTTAAATTCTTTAGTTCTGCTTTCTATGATTTATGGCAGCTTTTTTCCTCATGTATTTGATAACTTCCTTATTACAGACTTGTTTTCCCTGATACTTTATTTGTAGTGATTATTTGAAGCTTATCTTTAAAGTGTATTTTCCTAGTGAGAATTTATGTTTGCTTCTGCCTGGCTCCTGGGGCATTCTCAACACGGACCACTTCAAATACAGTTTCTGCCTGGGGATTTTCAAGCCACAGAGTTAGTATAAATTTCAAATAAAAGACTGTATAAGTAGAGGCTTGTGCTCAGAAATTTTCAGTAGAGATGTGTTTTTTCCCTGCTCCATTATCAGCCAATACTTAAAGAGACAAGGTACTTTGTGTGCAAACACTCTCCTTCCCCACCCAAGGCTATTATTAGTGTGGTGTCATTTTCAATTTGCACAACTAGTTTTGTTTTCTGTCTCCCCTGCACATGTCACCCGATAACCTAGGCTCTAAGCCCACCAGTTATAAGTAGGTGACCTCAGGGCAATTGCCAGACACCATGCTTGCTTACCAATGGCACCCTTTCTCCTTGTTTCTGGTCTCATCACATTACCTTTTCTGAAGAGGCAGCCTGGTTAAGCCTTAAAAGCATATTTAAATTTTTATTCAGCCTGTCAGCTTTTCAGCACTAGGAAGGGTTTCTCTGCACATCTTCCATAGTGTTGGAAAGGGAAAGCTCCTTGCATTAATGTTACAATGAGACCAAAATAGAATACTCTAAAAAGTAATAAGAAAGAGATTTGGTAAGACATTATTTCTCTTAGGTAATATTGTCAACTGTTTAAACAAAGTATTTTATAAATATGAGAGCGGCAGCCATAGCTGTCATTTTCATAAAGTGAGATTTCAACAAGCCTGCCTCTGCATAATTTGCCTTTTCCCTATGTCAAAACAGAGTTCTCTTTACTTTCAGACTTGAATCAGTTCTTTTTTTAAGCCATGGCTCAGGATATGCCTTTTGGCCCTGTCTGGTGAGACTATCATTTAAGAGTATCTCAGTGTTTTTGGCTGCCTTTTACAGTTTTGAGATCTATGTGCTTCCCTTTTTCCAGGAGGAGAAGCAGGCATGAAACACACTTAGGAGCTAGGTTCAAAGAAAACATCTTGACTTCTAAGGCACAGTGAGAATCAAAAGCAAAACTCATACCCATTCATTAGATTTTTCGGATACAGTTACATTAGCTCATTAATACAAAACATCCCCAGTGAGTGGGTGTCCTGTGTGAGAATAAAGAAAATTTCCTGGGCTTATTTTTACAGGACAGCTTAATTGGTGGCATATGATTTTTCTCATACCATATTTTGTAGCTTTAAATTATGAAAGTATAATCTAAGAAGTAGAAAATGTTTTATCTCTTACAATACTTTTAAAGAGAGGGCACTTTAGCAAATAAAGTCTACTTTTTTAAAAAAAGTTCTTTGAAAGTTTACAAACTTTTTTTTATACAGATGACTCTCTCCTAAAGATCAGAAGCTCATATTACTTTTGAATATTTCTTCAAATATAAGGGCTCATGCTCATAGTCTCCACAATGAAAAAAAAACCTCATCTATAATAATTTTGAGTAAATGTGCCCTTCTAAATGTGATTGATGTTCTATTAAGGCTGTTTTTTTTTAACTCTGTTTTAACTCAGCTATGCAAGACCTCCTGAACTAGCAGACAGCCATATGGTTGAGCAAGATGCTTTGGAGCTTCAACTTCAGGAGCTTTTGGGTTGTTTACATGTCCAGTGTCTAAAAATAGAAGATGTTAAAAATTTTCAACTCTCTGTGAAAGGCTTTCATTTAATCAACAATTATTTTTGAATAGGTTTTGCCATGAAAGGAAGCAAGAATAAGACAACTTTTGTGACATTTGAAGAATTGGAAAAAAATCACCTAAGTATATTTTCCTGAATATTTCCTTTTATAAGTAACTTCATTGGATATATTTCCAATGCTTTGCTGACCTTCAGTCAAGTTTCTCTCTCCTTCCCTTCCTCTCTCCCTCCCTCCCCTTCTTCCCTCCTTTTCTACAAACGCATAATTAAATGAAAACACAAGACATCTATGTAGTTAGCCATTCTACTAGGAAATCAAGCTATTGAAACTCATATTCTCCACTAGTCACTTGGTAGCTGAAACTAATGTTAAGCAAAGACATCAAGAGATCAGTTTGATGTGCTAATATTGAAAACTCAAGCCTATTACATAATGGCATCACCAGAGGGCAAACACCCAAAGGCTTCTTCAATAAGATTACAACCTTGACATTTTTAGTATTCGTGTGATCCTCAACTCTCAGAATGATCTACAGATGCTTGTTAAAATACAGGTTTCTGGAGCCTACTCAAAGAATATGACTTAATAAATCTGAGCTGGTGATCTTTATTTTGATAATTCACAAGCTCCTTTCAGAGTAACCAGAATTATTAATACCCCAGGCTTATGAACCAGATTGCCTGAGTTTGAGTCCTAATTTTGCCACTTCCTAGCTGTGTGATTTTAGGAAAGATGCTTAATCTCCCTATACCCCAATTTTCTCATCTGTAAAGCTGACATGATAATAATGCTCACCTTCAAAGGGATTTTAGGGGAAACAGATAATGTAATGCATACAAAGTGCTTAGAATAATGCCTGGTGGATAATTATCATCCTATTATGTTAACTTATGATTAACGATGATTCTCTCTTGACAATTAAAATGTTAGAACAACAGCAAAGAGATCATTCGTCCTTATTTTGATAATTCGTTTTGTTTGATTGGCACCTGGCATTAGTTTTCTATGTAAAAAAAAAATAGTAAAGTCAAAGACCCATAAAACACGGACTCTGTCTTCAAATGGCCAATGATTTTGGAAAGTCTAGAAATCTCATAAGAAGCAAGATAGCGAATGGGTACTAAGCTAGAGGAAAAAAACAATATTGAAAACAGAGTGTTGTTGAACCAACTTAGAATGAGAGCTTAACTACAGCTATCTTTCCATGGAATTTTTTTTAACACATCATTTCTTCATTTGGCTGAAGCTTTCTTTTGAAACTGATCAACTTTTTTGAGATATTTTGTGTTGAAATATCTTGAGTTATACTCAAAAACACCTTTGAACAAGTTTCATATTTATTTTGCAGTAGCCATTAACTCATTCATCTTACTTTTTTATATGACACTGTATCCACTCTATATTTTTTCAGTTTTCCAAAATCATTGAATTTGTAAGTTACCCCTATGGTAGAGTATTTTTGAAACAGCATTAAATATGTCAGGGCCTATAGGATACCATTTTGTTTTAATTCAAAGTGCATACAATTTATGGAATACTAGTGCCTATGTAATGATATCAGGGCTAACTATTGGCAACTAAAAGTCAGTATAACTATTATTTTAATATAAGTTAAACATATAGAGGCCTCCTGTATCTAGACATGTAGCAGGCTTTTCAAATATGAGAAATGATAAAATCTCTCAGACTTGCAAAGTAAAAAGACACGTTTACCATGACAAAAGATGACATAGCAAAATTTGCAATGTGGATAGGTTGAGGATTTCCCAGATAAAGTTCTGGTTCTTTTTCGGCTTAACAGTTCTTCCTTCAATCTTTCTCTGTTTTCTCACATTTTACAATAGCAAGAAGAAAGTAGGCTGTGCCTTCACCATTTTGCTTAGGAATCTTCTCAGTTAAATATCCAAGATCAATATTTCCACATATCTGTGAGACATAATTCGGCTAAGTTTTCTGCCACCATATACTGACATATTAGTCTGTTCTCACGCTGCTAATAAAGACATACCTGAGGCTGGGTAATTTTTCAAGAAAAAGAGGTTTAAGGGACTCACAGTTCCACATGGCTGGGGAAGGCCTCACAATCATGGCGGAAGGTGAAGGAGGAGCAAAACCACGTCTTATGTGGCAACAAGCAAGACAAGTTGTGCAGGGGAACTCCCGTTTATAAAACCATTATATCTCGTGAGACTTATTCACTACCAGGAGAACAGTACGGGGAAAATTGCCCCCATGATTCAATTATCTCCACCTGGCCCTGCCTTTGACATGTGAGGATTGTTAAAATTCGAAGTGAGATTTGAGTGGGGACACAGCCAAACCATATCAACTGATGATCTCCTTTCCTACAACTTCCAATAACACTTTCCTCATTTCCACCTGTATCCTGTTCGTAGCACTTTTAATGTCCATATTTGTACCAGCAGTCTGTTCATGATGATTTATGATGATTTATGTATTCCCTAAGATGATACAGATTTTCTCTACCATGCCTCTCACTTTCTTCTGAGGCCTCACTAGCAGAGTTAGCATCCATGTTTCTACTAACAATGTGTTCAAGGCAATCTAGGTTTTTATTTTATTTTATTTTTTATTATTATACTTTAAGTTCTAGGATACATGTACACAACGTGCAGATTTGTTACATATGTATATATGTGCCATGTTGGTGTGCTGCACCCATTAACTCATCATTTACATTAGGTATATCTCCTAATGCTATCCCTCCCCCATCCCCCCACCCTGCAATCTAGGTTTTTAAAATGCTGGCTACACACAATTCTTCCAGCCTTTGCCATTGTCCAATACCAAAGACACTTTGACATTTAGTTTCCTATTACTATTGTAACAAATTACCCCCGAACTTAGTGCTTAATACAACACACGTTTATTATCTTACATCTGTGGAAGTCTGAAGTTTGAAATGAGTCTCATTAGACTAAAACCTAGGTGATGGCAGGGCTACTTTCTGTCCCAGAGACTCTAAGGGAGGATAATTTTCTAGCCTTATTCATCTTCTAGAGGCTGCACATATTCCTTGGCTAAGCCCCTTCTATTTTCTTTTCTTTTCTACTTTTTTTTTGTTTTGAGACGGAGTCTCGCTCTTCTCGCCCAGGCTGGAGTGCAATGGCGTGATCTCGGCTCACTGCAACCTCCACCTCCCAGGTTCAAGCAATTCTCCTGCCCCAGCCTCCCGAGTAGCTGGGATTACAGGCACCTGCCACCATGCCCAGCTAATTTTTTGTATTTTTAGTAGAGACAGGGTTTCACCATATTGGTCAGGCTGGTCTCGAACTCCTGACCTCAAGTGATCCACCCGCATCCGCCTCCCAAAGTGCTGGGATTACAGGTGTCAGCCACTGCACCCAGCCCCCTTTCTATTTTCAAAGCCAGCAATTGCTTATCAATTCTTTCTAACATAGCATCACTCCGACTCTGACTGACTCTATTGCTTTAATCTTTCTTTTACAAGGACCCTTTTGATTGCATTTGGTTCACCCACCTAATCTGGAATAATATTCCCATCTCAAGACTAGCTGATTAGTAACCCTAATTCTATCTGCATCCTTACTTCTCTCTTGCCATGTAAAATTGCATATTCACAGGTTCTAAGGATTAGCAGGTAGACATCTTTGGAGTGCCATTATTCTACCTACCACTGTATTTACTGCTCACAAACACCAACTCCTTGGCAAAAATATAGTGGACAGCATTTCTGTTACCATCAGAATCTCTTCCAGTCCAGGCTGCTTTGTGAATGTCTATACCAGGACTAGAAATGCGTGGACGCCAACCTAATAAGATCTAGTTTTTCTAACTAAAGCTTTACATTCATACAAAAGAGACATTTTGGAGTCTTTGCATCATCTTACTGCAAGTTACCAGTGTAAACTTTAACCAGGTACATTAAAACAAATTGAAAATGAATAATACTAAGAAAAGGAGGAAATAAGGAGCCAGAAGTTTATCTTATTTTTCTTATATTTGAGAGGTTATCCTAATTTGGTAAACCATACAATCCATAGTTTGTTCGTTTGCTAAAAATAAAACAAAGCTCTGACCCTGACATATATGTAACACTTCTCTCATTTCTACCCTTTTACTGTTCTCTATCTCGTTCTTAATTCCCCTTGGTTTATGGATTTTTTATGGTCCACAAAGTCAGTAGAGATGAAACCATTAGTCCCATTACTTTATTTGAACTGACATGGCAATAGTAACCCAGAAAAATAAAGATGCAGGTTCTAAAAATCCCTGAATTTAGAAAGATTCATACGATGTGTTTTGAGGCTTATCATACTTAATGCCTTGATAGTAGACCAGTGCTTTTCAAACTTTAATGTGCATAGGAATCACTTGAGGATTCTGTTTAATGGATAGTCTGATTCAGTTGGTTTAGAGAGGGGCCTGAACTTCTGTATTTCCAACAAGATTGTAGGTTATGGGATACTGCTAATATAGAAACCATACTCTGAGTAGCAAGGATTTAGATACTATCTCTAGTTGCCATTGTCCTTTCATTTGCAAGTGTGAAAGTAATGTACATTTAAATGCTTTCATGCTGTTGTCAATTGTGGGTTGTAGGTACAAGAAAAACAAAGCATCTTGAGAGGAAATAAAAATTTCTTGAGCTTTTCTGCCAGCATCAACATGGCTAAGGAGATTGCTTTACACTGAGTAATTTTCCTTGTTAACATTTTTATTAAGTTGTCATGACAACTTTCTTATTCTCCATAAAGTGGAGGAAAGTAGGTTTTAACCCATAAGTCAACTATAAGAAAGAAGATTGGACCTGGAAGATGATGAAATATTCAGGTATTCATTTATCCACTCAGCAGGCATTTTAGTGAATCCCGTTATGAACCATTTTCATTACTAGGAAATTAGGCTGTGAAGATTAGTATTTCCCTAACAACAAGGAACTCTTGTTACTTTTTTAGAGCATATCAAACATCCAGATTACAGAATGTCTTTTGCAGTCACCTTTTGGTGGTTCTAGCCACCCTTATGTTTAGATTGGTTGCTTCCTCTTCTTACCCATTGTCTGACAGTCAGAAAGGATAGAGGAGGAAGAAGACAAGACACTATCCAGTTGAGAGTCTACTCTTAGTAAAACTCGGTAGCTCCTGGCAGAATGTACTGGGGTCAAATGCAATACTAATCAAGGAGTTTGGTGTGCCATAAAACTTGAGAATGGTAAAAGTAGAAATTAATGGGTTAAACAAGTCATTTTCCAGAATGAAAGGAATATTGGTAATGGTATCAACAGACGAGGACAACAGCAACAACAAAGTCTTTATACAAGCCTGCAACACGTGACAACTGCGGATCAGGCATCTGAACCCGGCCTATCTTTCCACCGTATCTTCCTACACTTTTCTTTATGTACTTTTTATTTCTACCAGATGGTATTACTCCTTGTTTCTTGAATAACAGTGTCATGCCTTTCCAACCTCTGTATGTTTGCTCACAAGTTTCCCTCTGTCAGAGAAAAGCAAAAACAACAAAAAAGTCCTCTATTTTATCTTTTTCCAAACATAACCAATCCTTCAAGTCCTATCTCTAGTACTGTTCCTTTATGAACCCTGTCAGACAATATCTCATTTTCTTCTGAATGTTCATAGCATTTACTTAAAAATAGTATGACTTCCCTCTTCTTTTTACTAATGAATTACTGTGTATTTTTTAAGTTTCCTTCTACATCTGAAGTTCTAAATATTCTTAGTACAAATGTCCTACTGATCTAAGAGAGTATCATGGGTTAAATGTAGAGGAAGAGAAGTTTCTGAGATGGCAGGAAGGCAAAAGTTTCTGTGACTACCTGTGCTTATATTGCTGACTTTCTTAACTGTTCCTGACTTATTTAAATGTATTTTTTTCCTGATTCTGATTAATGTTCACTATGAGGCAAGCACAGTAGGCAAGACTGGGAGAAAGTTTGCAAATGTGATGAGCTTACAAATGGGACCAGATTAGATGGTGTACTTGGGGGAGATATAAAAGAGGAAGATAACCATGAATTGAACTGAATTGAAAATGGATCACATAAAGATCATGATTAATTGTTAATTCACAATGGAACAGCATGATGGGATTTTTTTAAGTCAGAAAGGTGACTAAAAGCATAATATCACAACACACACAACGGTAACAAATATAACTAAATGCACTGAACCAGGCAGAAGCCAGACCTTACTGAAAAGATGTAAAATCTCTGTAACCATAAAACTGCATCTGCAAATGAGTAGATTGGCTTCAAATCTGAAAACCAGGACAAGAGAGTCATCAGCGCAGATGTCAACTTCCCCAGCAGAAATGTTGGAGTTTTTAACTGTGGAAAACTACAGTTTTTCCACACCAGTGCATAGTGGAGAAGACATGTTTTTGTTTTTCTTTTTAAGTGTGCCAAATTTTCCTGGAGTCCCCTCCAATTTTTTTCTTTCTCTCTCTCTCTCTCTTTTTTTTTTTTTGTCCCCTGCCCCTAGGTCTCTGTCTCCACACAGTGATTTCTGTTATGGCGATTGGGCGGCTGCAGAGACCAGGACTCAGTTCCCCTGCCCTAGTCTGAGCCTAGTGGGTGGGACTCAGCTCAGAGTCAGTTTTCCAGAAGCAGGTTTCAGTGCAGAGTTTTCCTACACTTTTCCTGCGCTAGAGCAGCGAGCAGCCTGGAACAGACCCAGGCGGAGGACACCTGTGGGGGAGGGAGCGCCTGGAGGAGCTTAGAGACCCCAGCCGGGCGTGATCTCACCATGGTGCGTTTTGGCTGCTACTTTCTTTTTCAGTCTTTCGGTGCGGAGAAGGGGAGGAGGCGGGCAGAGGTCTGAAAAAATCGAATGCCTTATGGAAAGGAACTGCAAGGGTTCCTTTGGGGTGATCAAAGAGGGAGACACAGACACAGAGAGACAAAGGCAAGGAGGACTGTCTGGGAGCCACGCGGGCGATACAGTTTCCGAGGCACGCCGCGTCCCGCCTAGCCTGTTGAACAGGTAGACATGAGCGACCCAAGCGTAAGTGCCGCTGCCGCGAGTGCCCAGGGTGCACTCGCGCGGGGACCGACAGGTGCCACTGCAGGGTCCCCTCTCCCGCTCACTGCCTGCCACCCCTGACGCCTGCTCTCTTTCTCCATTCGCAGTGCGGATTTGCGAGGCGCGCCCTGGAGCTGCTAGAGATCCGGAAGCACAGCCCCGAGGTGTGCGAAGCCACCAAGTAAGTGGTCGCTGCATCCCCACGCGGGTCGGGGTTCTTCAGACAGGCGGTCCCTCTTCCGGGACCCCCGCTTGGGCTGGGTCTCCTTCCTCTCCTGAGAAACCTTCGGTACGCTCCCAGTTGCCCAGCCCTGGGAAGCCAGCATCGGGTTCCCACGCTGGGGAGGAGCGAGAGGAAAGGAGAGGACGCCCGAGGGGCCGGCCCAGGGCCCGGGGGACCCGCGGCGCCCGAGGGAGGAGCACAGACGGGGGTGGGCGCCGAGCAGCGCCGCGCCGGCTGCTGAGCTCGCGGGGCCGGGCCGTGAGAACGCGCGGGGCGCGCCGGGGCCGCTGGTCTCCCACGGCCAGGGCGCCTGGGCCCCAGAGCCCATCAGCCGCGTGCAGCGCTGCGGCCTCCGGCGCGCCGGCAGGCAAGCGAGCGGGCGCAGCTGGGGGATGCCTGGACCCCGGAGGCAGCAGGGCTGGAGGCGGTGGCGGGCTTCAGGGCAACTTCACCCGGCCGGCTGCGGCGTGGGTAAGAGGCGCGTCCTCCTCCACAGCAAAAGCTGCGATCGCTGGGCTGCCCAGAGAAGGCAGCCGGCTAACTGCCCAGCGGCTCCACGAGGTGTGCGCGTGTGTGCGAGAGAGACAAATGATTTACTGCTTAGCAGTCCCATTTCTGTTTTCGTTAGGACTGCGGCTCTTGGAGAAAGCGTGAGCAGGGGGCCACCGCGGTCTCCGCGCCTGTCTGCACCCTGTCGCCTGAGCTGCCTGACAGTGACAATGGTGTGAGGGGCTGCGTTGCAATGTGGTCATGTGATTTCAGGCTATGGATTTCGTGCGTCTTTCTCTGCTCACTGATTTTCACATGGTTATTCTTTCATTTTGCACTCGATAAACAGTTTACATCTTCTGAAGTAAGCCAGAAGATTGTATGGCTCACTTAACGATGACTGGTTGAAGGCATCTTGATTTGGAACCTATGGAAACAGTGCTGAGTTTTAAATAGGACAGATTTTTTTTTCTTTCATTTGAACTTCATTTATAACATATCAATAGTGATGTTTTAGGATCAGTTCTCCTATGGTAATTTCACTAAATGCCTATTTAATGAATTGATTTGATTTCATACATCTCTACCACTTACTAGAACTGTCTTTGTACAAACGTCAAACTTTCCTGTTACATATGGGTAAGCATAGAAGCACTTGATATAATTTTTTTTTATCTTGGTTCAGAGTGTAGAAGTGGTCTGTTGCTTTTCCTAAAATTGCTATACATATTTTTTCTTTAAGAGTGATCATTTCAGGTACCCTATTATGTACAGTGGTAAAAAGTAAACTCGTTATGATAGCAACGACGATGTAACCAAAATAAGCAACACTTAATTGGTCTGAAAGTTATACATATAAGCTTTATTATTGCTTCAGTGGAAGTTGTCTATGCATTCTGTGCTTTGTTCAGCCATTAAACAACTGGGTCCGTGATCTTCTTCAAGGGGCCGTGAAGTCCCTAAAATTGTATTTAAACATTAGAGTGGCTGCATTTTAAGGGAGATAGTACATAGTCAAATATCCAAAATGGACCTGTGTCCTAATAGAAAATTAAGAACCACGGGGTAAAAACACGTAAGCCATACTTTTTCTTATCAAAACAACAGGCTGTCTACATACAGCCTGCAGACATAGGCTAGAAGGAAAATTCTAGAACAATTAAATGGTGTTACCGTAGTTAAATATTTCACATAAAATAGACCAGATGTATGTATTTTAATGTATTAGGAAACAGGTCTGTGAACGTATTTAGTAGAAATTTGTAATTAATAGATGGGTACCTTATATTTATATTTATAAGGTATATTTATACTTTATATTGTAAGATCTCTTTCTATTATACGACAGAAAATAAAAATTATATTTTTGTCTTTGAAATCCAATCAAAATATAAAGTACTTATGCTTGGTATAGTGTCTCATAGTGTATGAAATATAAATAGCCCCTTAAAGGTCTTGCTTCTAGATATTCAGGTATTAAATAACATGATTAAAATCGTTTTCTGTCATTCGGAGAATGAGGAAGGAAATATAAAATTATTTTATTTATTTATGGCAATACCAAAAACAAAAGTGTGAAAAACTTCACAATGCTTAGTACTTATAACTCTTATAATTATGTCTTATTAAGGGATCTTTCTTAAGACATTTTGAAAAGCTATTTTAATATTTCACTACAAACAAGTGATAATATTAAAATTAAAGTATATCTATTACAAATACATCAGTAAAATATTTTGTGACCGAATTTTAAGAATTTTGTTATATTTTTCAAATGAAATTGAAAAAAATTAAATGTTTATCTAACATCACTTTTATTGACACATTGATATTGCATAACTTTGAATTTTTTCAGAAACTATACAAGGGAAATTAAATCCTGCATTTACATTTGCTAGCAACTAATGAGTGTGGACTGAGGATAATATTTCTTGCTTTACAGGTTAGTTTAAAATAACACGATCTGCACCCCCATAATTTCTAATTAACCTTTTTTCAGAACTAAATAAACATCAAATTAGCCATCAGAATGAATCTCTACAAGTAAGGGGAAATGGAAAGGTAAAGCAACATTTCAGTAATACAAGCCAAAAAGTATGTGCATTAATGGGAAAAATTTTTGGAGGAAGCTGTTACTGAGAATGACTTTTTCTGTCAGATTCACTAAGAAGTTGCTTGGCTTTTATTTGTGAGAATATTCCATTTTGAAGGCACTATTTTTACACTGGTTAATTAAAAATATTTACCCAAGCCACTTTTCTTAAACATTTCTATTTATTACTTTTCTGCACATTTGTAAAAACAAATTTTTTCCCCAAAGTATTAATAATTAAAAATATGTTTGTCTCTTGACCATCTACATTCATTCTGCAATAGTTTGTTTTGGGTGTCTACATCTTGACTTGATATAAGAAGAGCTTTTGTCAATGTTTAGTTACTAGTTGATTTACTTTGGGTGAAGTAATTTCCTGGCTATCCTGAATCATATCTGCTTCTTTTATTTTCTTTCAGAACATTTTGAAATGTCTTACCTATTATATATGTAATTTTTCTTCTTCCCTGGGTTCATGCCAATAGGCTTCATCTTCCTATAGCCTCGAAGGCTTACAGAGGATGAACAGAGTTATTTTGGAGGGGTGAAAGAAGAGCTGTAGAGTGGGCTTCCCTCTCAGCCCACAGTAGGAGAGAATGGCTACATCTTAAAACTTGAGGGACTCTGGAGCAGGCTCTTCCTTGCCACAAGAATGTGCCTCACAGCCTGTAGTTTCTAACTTCTGGTATGCTTTCTGGCCATTAAACAATATTTCATTAAAACAAATCCTCCATTTTAAAAATTGAGGCCAAGTCAAATTAATTAACTCACATACCAAGTCATCTATCTCACCATACTAAGAATTAGCAGGAAGTCGACACGAGACAATGGCTTTGAGAGTGAACACCTTCTTAGGGGGGAAGCAAATGGGGCAGACCCATTTCTTAATCCTGACCTTTTTTTCTAGGTCCAGCCTATCTATTTATCCCCTTTTGCTATGTCACATGACATTGAAAGTACCTGTTTAAATGTCTGCATCTCCCATTAAACTCAAATCTCCTTCACGGTATCCAATGTTGGATCCATAGTGCTTGGTGCATAGTAGGTGTCTAAAGAGCTTAACATTGTTGTCATTGTTATTCTTGAATTAAGGCTTGTTTATGCTTTGATGCTACCACATGGAGCTATGGTCTTGGTGACAGAGACCCTTGTGTGCTCTTCCGTCATATAGTTTGTGGCCTCTTCAGAATTGCTTGTAAACTGTTATTTATTTCACCAACAATTTTAACTCTGCTCCAACCCTTAAATCTCTTGCCACTAGACCTACCAGAACCTGCCTTCCCAATGTCAGCTTCACTTTTAATGTTTGCTTTACCTTCCTTGCTGTTGATTTAGCTGGACAAAGAGAGACATAACTGTATCTTGTAGCCAACTACCAATTGCTTCACTCCAATGTCAGCTTGGAGGATACTTTGTGCAGCTATTTTATTCTTTTTTAGTTAATGTCATATCAAATTCTCCATGGTACATATTCTGGATTTTTCCAGGTTTTCTAGTCTGCCCAGATTATCTCCAGACTCTTCATTCTTAGCAGAGGACCATACTTTTTAATTCACAGAGGATGTTAAGGTCAGTTTGGGCAAATTATTTGTCAACACTCATCTTGAATACAGTAAGCATTTCTTTGACCAGCTGTGAGCATAAGAACTCTTTTCTTATATTCAGCTATCGAATTTGTCTCTATAATATTTATATCTTTAATTTTTTACCTCTTAGAGTATTTATAGAAAATGCTTTTACATCTAACAACTCTTAATAGTGTCTAAGATAATATTCAGTTTCTTCAACCCATGCTTATTTACCATGGGTTGAGAGTCTCATTGTTACCAGGGCTTTTCTCTTTTGGATGCACTTCTGTTTTTATTAAAGTGTGATCCCCAGAGTTTAACATAGAGGACTGTCCTCTGATATATTTATCTTCTCTGGATATCATGTAGTAAATCAACCTGAAATCTATTCTACTCTTCCCCCCTCCGTTTTTTTTTTGCACTCATACAACACTGTTTAATTATGTATCTTTTTTGCACATTCTTCTGCAAATACACTTATTTTCCCCATCGAATTTTATGTTTGGCCACTTGATTTGGGACTTTTACAAATACTTACTGCAATTAAATTTAATCATTACCTTTAGTTAGCCTGTTGTTCCAGAAAGTCAAGGTCATCTTGGATTCTGAGTCCTTGATACAGAATAGCCATTTTCACCAATTTAGAGGAATTAACAGATTTGATCAGGATATAATTAACATCTTCATCCAAGTAACTATCTACAATGCTGAACTGGAACTACCTTTGGCATATTCCTAGACACCGTCCTTTACGTTAGACTCCTGCTTTACATTAGTCCATAAATTATTCCTCTTTATAAGGCTGTTCAACCAGTTATATAGTCAAATAACTCTCTTTGAAGTTGACATTCCTTTGTGTGACTTAAGAGAGTATACTGAGACAGACTTGGTCAAATTCCTCCCTGAAATGAGTCTCCACTTTCTGCAGAATAGATGTCAAGTAACTGCTATTAAAAACAAAAGGAGATAACTAGGTTAGTTGACAAGGATAGGTTCCTGTGACCTCTCCTTATCTTGTAGATAACAGCACTTCACATTTTGAATGCTTGCATGCCATGTTTTTAATCATCTCTTTGGAATAGTACCTGCAATTAATGTCCAGCTCTCTAAATTATAGCTGATGGAATCCACCTTCCCAATTTTGAAAATTGAGGCAATGGTTGGACTCTGTCAACACTTCTCTTCATCACAATATTTTTAAAGATGACTTTAACAATTCCTTTATTTTATCCACACATGCTTTCAATATTTTGTAGTGTAATTTCTCCAAATTAATGGATTTAAACTCATTTAGAATATTTGCTATCATTCTACATGCTGGACCTTTGTTATTTTTAGTTTTGTTCTACTTTTATAAGTATGGATATTGTTTTCTTAAGGAATGGATATGAAACAAAACAAGAGCAGAGTAGTTCTGCCTGTTTGTTCATGTACTGTGATTTGAATATCTTTATCCAGTGTGCTCTTCCTATATCTAATAAAAATGCCATTATCACCACTTTATCTGGCAATCATAGCAAGAATTAAAAGGACATTTTTTCTTTTTTTTATAAGCTTCAACTTATTTTATGTCTTATATTTTATAACACTCTTCTTAGAGACTCAGCCACTATTTTGTACTTCTCTCAATAAAGTTTATTATGGATTATGCTTGTCACTGAGGAAGATACAAAGCAAAGTTTATGACACACACTCCTTGACTTGAAGGAATTTAAAGTCTGCATGAACAAAACCAAGAAATAGTCTCAGAATTATACATGTCAGCACTTAACAATGAGCATAATATTTGTAGAATAGTTTTAATAAGTTTTAAAGAAGTTAGGAGAAGGAAGAGAGTTCGGTATGATGGAAATATTGAGTAAGGCTTTCCAGAGGAAATCTAAGACTTAGCTGAGGTTTTAAAACAAGATCAGGATGTTGGACATCACAGGACCTGTAGGATTTAAATGTGGCAAACAGTAGGAAGAGTATTCTAGACAGAGGAAAGGAAAGGATTCACTGCAGGGATCAGATGTGTGTGTGGGTGTGCATGTGTGTGTTTGATGTGTGTGTGTGTACCCTGTGTGTGGCGGAACGGGTAATGCTGAGCCTTCCCAGGCCATAGCTTTGAAGTATTTATTTGTGGAGAACACCACTTTTCCATTTCTAGCTTTTCGTTTCCCCTTGTTCAATCTTTGTGGGGCCCACACCTACACATCTTGTAGATCTCAAACTAAGCTCTGCTTCTTAAAACCTTTCCCTGAACTTCCAAGCCTAAATTGCATGCCTTATTATGTTTTCCTGTAACACATTGTGCTTCCTTTGTAGAATTATTATGATATGAATAATTACTTGCTGAATTTTTACTATTATACTGATACTTGTGGAGAGAGGTACCATTTCTGTTTAGTTCCCCATTTTATACACAGTCATCTAATACAAGTGCTCAATGGCTCATAAGCACTCAGTGAAAACGTGTGCTATGGCCGGGCGTGGTGGCTCACGCCTGTAATCCCAGCACTTTGGGAGGCCGAGGCGGGTAGATCACAAGGTCAGGAGTTCAAGACCAGCCTGGCCAAGACAGTGAAACTCCGTCTCTACTAAAAATACAAAAAATTAGCCGGGCATGGTGGTGGGTGCCTGTAATCCCAGCTATTCGGGAGGCTGACGCAGAGAATTGCTTGAACCCAGGAGGTGGAGTTTGCAGTGAGCCAAGATTGCGCCACTGCACTCCAGCCTGGGCGACAGAGCGAGACTCCATCTAAAAAAAAAAAAGAAAGAAAGAAAGAAACAAAGAAACAAAGAAAACATGTGCTATCATGAGCCTACTTGGAACAGTGAAGTTATGTGGAGAGTACTTGTAAAAAAAAAATGTTTAAAATAAAGAAGGGTTAGATTACAAGTCCAGCATCTTCGTTCTTTATATGCTTATTCTAACAGATTTTTTCTATTTTTAAAATTTATTTCTTTTTACATCTTAAGCTTTTTTATTAAAAATAAAGACAAAAACACACACCTTAGCATGGACCTACACAAGGTCAGGATCTTCAGTTTCACTGTCTTCCACTGCCACATTTCTCACTGGAAGATCTTTAGGGACAATAACAAGCATGGAACAGTCCTCGCCTATGAATACAATGCCTTCTTCTGGAATACCTTCTGATGAAACTGCCTGAGGCTGTTTTACGGTTAACTTATTTTTATAAGTAAAACTAGTACCCTCTAAAATAACAATAAAAGGCATAATATAGTAAATACATAAACCAATAAAATAGTACTTTATTATCACTATCGAGTTTTATATACCGTAGGTAATTGTATGTACTATGCTTTTTATATGACTGGCAGCACAGTAGGTTTGCCTGCACGAACATCTCCACGAGCATTTCAGTTATGCATTGTGCTATGACATTACAATGGCTATCAGTCACTAAGGAATGGGAATTTTTCAGCCCCATTATAAACATATGGGAACATGATTGTGTATGTGGTCCATAGCTGACAGAAACATTGTTATTTGGCACGTGACAGTATATGCACTGGAATTTTTAGCTGCTTATTTTTCTCCATTTGCAATATCACTTTGCAGCTTCAAATATGCTCATTATAAGCAGTTAAATGATATGTGGTTTTTATTACATTATTAAGTTAATAAAATAAGTGACAAGGAGTTTCAGTATTCCATAGTATAACATAAACTTTTAAATTGTGTATTTGTGAGCATAAAGTTATATCAAGATCTTTAGCACTATATATGAAGTATTTAGAGAGTTACAAATGTAGCATTGAAGGAAATTTGGGTAAATGCAATAAAATTGTCAGTACATGAGTTGTAAAGCAAGATATCCATATATTAGATTAGCACTATACATTTGTAAATATGATTAGCAAAAGGCAGGCTTCCCAGCGAAAACAAACGTCTTTGGGTAAAATTCTATTTCTTTTAATGTTTTAAAATATTTGTAGTCACTAATTGTAAGTCATATTCCTCTTTGTCCAGCTCTATCCCAAATAACAATTTAATACACCGCAGCATCTATTTCTGCTTATTTTCTGTGTCACTGGCTCAGAATAATTCATAAGCCCTTGTTGTTTCATCTTATGCTAACAAAAATCCAGCAGTGGTATGTAGGAGAGCTGTGATATGCCCTGATAAGAGTTTATACTTTGGAGAACAAATTATCCTAATTAAAGTCACTGCTTTTCTTCTCTTCTCTCTCTCCTCCTCTTTGAAGCTGTGAGAGTTTATCTTAACCTAGACTGGTTACCACCTATGGCTTTATGGCTTGCCTGCTGGCTTGGCTGAGAGCAAGAAAGTTGTATATGAGGGATATCACAAGGCCACCTTCCACAAAAATTGCTCTCCCACTTGGTCCTGTCCTAAGGCCTAAATCTCCTTTGGGTTGATGCAATCTTTTGGAGTGTCTCCTGGAGTCAATAAGATGCCTGTTTTACCGTGAAGAGCAGCACAATGAAGAGGTTGCCCAATAGCAGTGGTTACTTTTATTATGTTGTCTTTCTGCCTTCAATCAAGAGCATGACACTTGGACATAGCTTTTTAAAGTAAAGAGAAAAAGGAAACTGAAAGGCTCAGTATGTGGGACATAGATAAGAAAATGAGACCTAAATAGGGTGTATTGGGCAACAATACAGGGCTTAAATAGAAAGAGGAAGACCAAAAGAAAGCAAAGAATGTCCTAAGAAGAGCTGGTTTTTTTTTTTTTTTTTTTAACAATTTTGTTGCCTATTAGTTTTCTTCATTCCTGGGGATGGTTGGGACATTTTTCCACATCGGCATGTTATGGCCTTGATTATCTACCTAAATCAAACCAGAGGAAAATCATTTTAGTTTATTTTTATCTTAACATTGGATCTGTTTCAGCGCGTCCTGGAAATTAGTAGTTGCATGTTGTCACCGTCTATTTTGTACACAGTGAAAAGGTATTTGGCTGTGTTTCTATTTACATTCACTGTCCTTGATAAATACTAATTGGCCAGTGATTGTAAGTCTCAAGAATTTTTGCTGCAGAGCGTGTGTTAAAACTCATTTTAAGTGGTGTAGGAGTCATGCAGTGTTTATCACTTAAGTGGGTAATCTGACAGCTGTATTTTACTGCCTGACTGCAGCTTTATTCTTGATCATTCTCTTCCTTGAGTAGTGTGTTATGGTCATGTTGTCTTAGCTGCAATTAATTCCCAACCTTTTTTTGTTTTCCAGTCTTTGTCTTTTGCATTTATTTTTC
This sequence comes from Homo sapiens, assembly GCF_000001405.40. Lineage (NCBI taxonomy): Eukaryota > Metazoa > Chordata > Mammalia > Primates > Hominidae > Homo > Homo sapiens. Next base: position 155,676,833 of record NC_000004.12, read on the forward strand.
TGCTCCTGCAATGCCTTACTTTGCTGTCTCTGCCTCGCTATTTCCTATTTATTCTACAAAGCTCACCTTAAGTGTCACGTTTTCAGGGACATGTTTACCAATGTACTGTACAGGGGCACATGCAGATTCTTCATGTCCCCATCACAACCTGTCATGACATCACACTGAACTGAGTTTGTGTGGTCTAAGTCTGTCCGCCCCAACCTTTACTCAAAACGTTCCTTAAGGAACTAGGATTGGATTGTTTTTATTTCTTTGTTTTTGTTTTTAATCCCTGAAATTTCGTCCTTTAGAATGTAGTAATAGGTACCTAATAAATATTTTTGGCATATGTGAATGAATGAGTGAGTGAATAAATAATCAGATTAGTTGATGAAAGATTCTAAGGGAAGATTAGGTAATGTGATTATAAGAGAAAGATCCTGAAGAATGCTTGGGAATGGATCCTTTACTCATACATGATTTTGTTCATCAGCTTATATGTAGGATCACAGTCATTTGGAAAATATTGGTCCATTGAAATTTATACATTTTCCAAATGGTGACACACTTCATTATACAGTGTCAAAAGTTAGCCTTCATGACTATCACCACTGATCTCATCAGGAAGTTTTAAGTATTGGATAGCTATAAGCTCACAATGGCAGTCCTAGATAGTGCAGCCGTGGATTGAAAAAGTGTTCTAGTTTCCTCTTTTTAAGCCAAGAATCCATCCTTAAATATAAGAAGAAAATCAGGCCGGGCACCGTGGCTCACACTTGTAATCCCAGCACTTTGGGAGGCCAAGGTGGGCAGATCACCTGAGGTCAGGAGTTCGAGACCAGCCTGGTCAAACATGGTGAAACCCCATCTCTATGAAAAATACAAAAATTAGCCGGGCATGGTGGTGGGTGCCTGTAATCCCAGCTACTTTGGAAACTGAGGCAGGAGAACTGTTTGAACCTGGGAGGCGGAGGTTGCAGTGAGCCAAGTTCGTGCCACTGTACTCCAGCCTGACTGACAGAGCGAGATTCCATTTCAAAAATATATATATATGTATATATATGAAAAAATCAATAGACTTGGTCTTAGAATAAATATTAAAATCTAAAATAATAAGTTTATATAAAAAATTAGCAAAGTGGAATTACTTCTTATGTTTACATTTAAGACCAAGAAAAACTTCAAGATTTCAAAATAATAAATTATTAGACAATAATGAAATTACAAACATTATAACAAGTATACTGATAGTTAGGAAAAATAATAGAGTTCTGAGAACAAACTGCGTTAATCTCCAAAAATGTACACTTATACTTTAAACCTACTAATTTAGAAAATTCTACACAAATATAAATTCCATTAGAATGATTACATCATCACATGTCATGTAGTCTCTGGAGAACTCTGCTGCAATCTGTGAGAGAATGAGAATGAAAAAGGTGCATAATATTAGAATATTGTTATGAAAATAGTTCTGACCATGCATATCCTCTGAAAAGGTCTCAGGACATCCCCAAGAGTTTGCAAACCACATTTCGAGAAATGCTGCTTTAACTCAAATGTGTCTTGAACAAGGTAAACATAAAGGTTTTTACAATAATTTTATATCAAGTCCAGTTTATAATAGTGAACATTTCTTAGGTACATTTTACATTCCAAGCATTAATACAACTGCATTACTTTAATCAAATCCCTTGAGGAATGTTCTATTCTCATCACTGTTCTACAGATGAAAAAATGGATGATGCACAGAGTAGATAAGTCACTTGCCTAATGTCATACATTTAATTAATAATGGAACCGGTATTTGTAGCCAGGGAGGGTTCACACTTTTACTTACTATGGTAATTACTATGGTAACCTTTCTGCCCACATTGCAAGTTTTCCTGATGATTTGTGAATTACCCAAGTTTTGCTTATAAACAATAGCATTTGTTGAATGTCTAGCATTTTAAGAAACTGCCAAACTGTTTTCCATTCCCACCAGTAATCTGTGAGATTTCCAGTTATTCCACATTGCCAATAACTCTTGACATTGCTGAACTCTAGAATTTTAGCCATTCTAATGGGTTTTTGTTTAATAACTAATAATATTGAGCATATGAAGAAATGTTTATGACTGTTTATATACCTTCTTTAATGATTGTCTATTCAGATGTTTTGCCCATTTTAAAATGGAATTGTTTATTTTCTTACTGAGTTGGAAAACTGTATATTCTGAATTAAACTCCCTTGCTGTTGTGTGTTACATATATTTTCTTCTAGTATATGACTTGTGTTTTTGTTTATGTAATAATGTCTTTTGAAGAGCCAAAGTATTTTTTTTATTTTGATGAAGTCCACTTTATCATGCTCTTTTTAAATATTTCATGTTTTTTTTTTCAAATTTAAGCATCTTTGCTTCAAACCTGGTCACAAAGAATTTCTTTTATGTTTTCTTCTGTAAGTTTTATAGTTGTAACTTTCGTACTTAGGTTTACGATTTGTCGTAGTCTGTTTATTTTGCTATAAAAGAATACCCGAAGTTGGATAATTTATTTACAAAAGAGGTTTATTTGGCTCAATGTTCTGCAGGCTGTGCAGGAAGCATGGCACCAGCATTTGCTTCTAGTGAGAGCATGAGGCTGCTTCCACTCATGGCAGAAGGTGAAGGGGAGCCAGCGTGTGCAGAGATTACTGAGAGAGAGAGGAAGCGAGGGAGAGAGAGAGGAGACACCAGGCTTTTGTGTAACAGCCAGCTCTTGAAGGAACTAGTAGAGCAAGAACTCACTGGCTATCGTGAGAACGGTGCCAAGTCATTCATGAGGGATCTGCCCAATGACTCAAACATCTCCCATTTCACTCCACATTCAACACTGAAGATTAGATTTCAACATAAAGTTTGGAAGGTTCGAATATCCAAACCATGGCATGGTCCATTAAGATTTAATTTTTGTATATGGTATGATGTGTGGATAAAAGTTTATTTCTATTTCTATATGGATTTCCAGTTGTTCCAATGGCATTTTTATTAAAAAACAAACAAACATATTTTCTTTCCTGATTTTATTGCCTTGACACCTTTGTTGTAAACACAATTGTGGATCTCTATCTCATTGATCTCTTTGTCACCCCTTTCAAACTGATACCTCACTTTCTTGATTACTTTAACTTTTTAAGTTTTGAAGCAGGTATATAAGTCCTTCAGTGCTATTTTTTCTTCTTTAATATTAATTTGGCTATCCTATGTCATCAATGAAATCTTAGCCTCATTTTGTCAATTTTTACTAAAATGATGGCTGAGATGTTGATTGGAATTGCATTGAATCTATAAACCAGTTTAGAGAAAATTTGTACCTTAACAATATTATACATGGTATATATCTCTCCATATATTTAGACCTTCCTTAATTTATCTCGTGAATGTTCGTAGTTTTCAGTGTAAAAGTCTTGTAAGCCTTTGGTTAGATTTATTGCTAAGTATTTATTAACAGTATCATAAATGAGTTTTTAAAATAATTATTTTCCAGTATTTGTGGCTAGTACAGAAGTTATAATGGAATTTTGTATATCAGTCTTGTATCCTGAAACATTGCTTAATTTACTTCTTAGTTCTAGTTATTTTGTATATCCACTGGGAATTCCTACATGAACAATTTTAAGTATATGTGTGTGTGTGTGTGTGTGTGTGCACATGCATGTGTATGATCCTTGAACAACACAGGGGTTGGGGCACTGACACTCCTGCACAGTCAACAATCCACATAAAAGTTTTGACTCCTCAAAAACTTAACTACTAATAGCTTACTGGTGACTGGAAGCTTTACCGATAACATAAACAGTTGATTGACATGTATTATATACTGTATTCTTAAAATAAAGTAAGCTAGAGAAAAGAAAATGTTACAAAGAAAATCATAAAGGAAGAGAAAATATATTTACCATTTATTAAGTGCAAGTGGGTCATTATAAAAAATCTTCACCCTCGTTGTCTTCATTTTGAGCAGGAGGAGGAAGAAGAAGATAAGGGGTTGGTTTTGCTACATCTGGGATGGCAGAGGCAGAAGAAAATTTGCATATGAGTGGACCCATGGAGTTTGAATCTGTGTTGTTCAAGGGTCGATTGGATACACACACACACACACACACACACATGCACACACACACACACATGCACACACACACACACGTGCACATAAACCTGCAACCTTTTGGCCTTTTGTTTAACTGATTGCAATGGCTAGGACCTAACTTCTGTACAATATTGATTAGAAGTGGTGAGAGCAGGCATCTTTGCTTGGTCCTGAATAATAGTGGAAAAGTGTTCAGTCTTTCATCATCAAGTATGACTCAATAATTATAGTTTTCATAGATGCTTTCTGATGGGTTAAAAAAATTATGATTGCAGAGCTTGTCTCACTTGTTCTCATTATTAGTGTTGGAGTGGGAGTCTCTTGTGACTTTCTGCAATTTAACCAGAAGTCAAAGACCCTGTACTTTGAGCTAACTTTTGTGCTCTGTATAGTAAGTATTTCTATTTACAGAAAGCTACAAATATAGGTAACAAAAGAAAAGGATTTCATATCCTCACAATCCTTCTTTCAAACTTGCTGTTTCCCAATCCACAGATCTTAATGTAATCTGTACTCAGTTACAGTGTAGTACTTTATCACTATAACTCCTTATTTTCTTCCACTTTCAGTCTACTATTCTTATTCAAAATTTTGCCTTAAAAGCCATAAACATCTTTCTAATTTAAAAATCAAATGATATTTTCTCAGTCCTCCTTACCCTCTTCAGACTTGTGACATACACTTCTTTTCGAACACGTGTCCTCTTTCATATTCATTCTCATTGTACTTTTCTAATTGCTGCTTCTCTGTCATAGTCATAATACTTTCTCCAGTCCTTAAACATGAGGATTCCCTGGAGTTCTAAATTTGGTTATCTTCTCTCTATATATGTAGCCTCTTGATCTTAAACAGTTTTAGTTAAACTCCTGACTATAATGGTTTCTGCTATGGGGAGGAGCACAAATTCATCTCTAATCTGTTACACATTTCTGAAGTAAATACTCCGATTTTCAAAAGCACCTCCACCCTAGATTCCCTGCTACCTCAGTTCAAGATCCATGTATCTAAAACAAATTCAACATCCTTTCTCTCAGGCCTACTGCTCTGTTTCTGTTACCTGTTTCCATGAACGGTGCTATATCTTTCTACACAAAACTTCAGAGTCATTCTATTCCTCAGATCTAGTGAGTTGCCACATCATGCCAACTTTAATTTTATAATATCTCTAGTAGCCATCTTTTCCTGCCTCTTTCCCACAATTTCCTTCATTTCTTGCTTTCACTTACACTGTTCTTTCTCTGTGGCGTGCCCCTTGCCAAAATCTTAATTTTCAGAACTTAGTCATTTAAAAAAATAAGCTCAAATTCTGTACATTCCAAGAAGGCTTCCCTGATGATTCTTTTGCCACCACCGCCTAAATCTGATATTTCTTATAAACAGTTTTAACTCTCTATCTTTACTTATTCTCCCTTTTTATTGTAGCCATTAGCTATTTAATAAAATTTCTTATATATACATAAGAAAATTCGACTGGGCACGGTGGCTCATGCCTGTAATTCCAGCACTTTGGGAGGCTGAGCGGGGCGGATCACGAGGTTAGGAGTTCGAGCCTGACCAACATGGTGAAACCCTGTCTCTACTAAAAATACAAAAGCATTAGCTGGGCGTGGTGGTGTGTGCCTGTAATCCCAACTACACAGGAGGCTGAGGCCGGAGAATCGCTTGAAACCGGGAGGTGGAGGTTGCAGTGAGCCGAGATCATGCCACTGCACTCCAGCCTGGGCAATAGAGTGAGACTCCATCTCAAAAGAAAAAAAAAGAAAAGAAAATTCAGTGTGTGTGTGTGTGTGTGTGTGTGTGTGTATATACCCCACTCATATCAGGCTTTGAAGAAAATTAAAGAAAGGAATATTTTTTGTCCTTTTATGAAACAGTAAATTTTGATTGAATTATAAATGGATCTACTGACAACTCATTTTAAAATGTATTTCCAATAAGCAAGACATTTTAGAAACTCTGATTTAGCTTTCTTTTATTTGTATTTTATGTTTTTTCTGGTTCATGTTTTGCCCCCTATATTGATTATAGCTAATAGCCTAATATTAATATATTTTATTGAGATTAGTTAATATTAATTGAGTGGCCAAATGATGGATGATTCTGTGCTGAGTGTTTCTGATAAGGCAGTCAAGTATAGAAACATGGATGGTTTTTCATTTAGCTGATTTCACAGCAAAGTGCAAAAGGAGGATAGGAAATTACATGAGCATTGTTGATTTCTTTATCAAGCACAGACCTTGGAAATGCATAAACTCTATGTATAGTGAGATTTCACTTTTTCTGAAAAAAGTTGAAAAACAACACTAATAATAAGTAAAATAGAAAAAGAGAATATATAGGAAAACAAAAAAAATGGCTTGTCAAATTGTGTGTCATTTACAGAGGTGTGTTTGTGTCTTCACATACAAAGAATCCAGGGAAAATAAATGGAAAAAAATTGAATAAATTTAATAATAACAATTTAGTTAGCCTATCTATGTCACTTCCGTGTTTATACCAGATGACTCAGAGCCAGTAGTTCTTTCAATTTCAGCAGAAAATAATTATTGGCAGTCCCAAAGTTGGATAAACTGTGACCTGCATTGGCTGGTTTGATTAAGGCTGGAAAATAGCAAACTTGATTAAGTGACAAAGACAAGATAATGAGGAAAGTTATTTAGAAAATGTGTTTAGAGATTTGAAAAGGGACTAAAAGATAGTTTCTCAAGAAAGTGCAAAAGAAGATGAGAAAATTATGAAAAAGAGTCTGGGGCAACATTTTAGGAACTGTAGACAGTGAAAGCAATTTTATAATGTATGTTAATATTAGCATGATATATAGACGAAAGGTAATCTTCTGATTGGTCTGAGATGAAGTAGTTATGTTAACCCTCAAAAGATGATGAAGTGTGAAATTTGAATTCAGATAACTAAGTTTTCAAGTTTTCTCAAAGTATTCCCTGCAGTGGCTGGTGGTCCACAAAGAAAGGAGGGCTTCTCAGCATTTTCAGTAGAGGAGGTCATCAGGGTATATTGGGTGAACTCAATACACCTATACACCTCCTGAGCTTTGGGGTTTGAGCCACATCACTGAAGTCTGCACTCTGTCATCTGCAAATGGAAGGGACTGCAATAAATAATCTCTAACTCCTCTTCCAGTTCTAAACTCCTATTATGCAAATGACTCTGTCTTTATATTGACTTTTATGTAAGAGGTACTGAAATGAATAGGAAAAATTGTTTGGTATTTCTTTAAATTTTCTCTATTTTGAATCAATTAGATGGCAGAGGCATTAAAAGAATATAGTTGTGGGTTTGGATTTAATGGGAAAAGACTCAGCCTTTCTCAATATGGACTTTGCAAGCATCCAAATATATACCTGCAAAGTATATGTTCAGAAGTCCAAATTCATTTCTGGTAATGATTCTTCTAAACTAATCATTATGTAAAAACTTGGCAGAATTGAGTTTGTGTTGGAATTTGCCACGTCTTTTGCTAACCTGATTCCAGCATAAGCATCAAGGATCTGTGTCCCAGTGTTATGACAAAAGTTCATTTCCTGTCTTAAGAATCAGAAAGAGCTTTACTGCTGGTCAGAAAACTAGAAAAGGTACCTGACTACCCATCAATTACTAATACCTTAGTAGCCTGGTCCCCTGGGCCACCTCCAAAGAAACATCTGCTGAGTCTCCAGGCCTCGAATCTCACACTTCACTTTTATGAGCCTTTTCTCTGGGGTCATAAAAGAAAATTTCTCTGAGAAACGTACTTTGCCAAAGTTTATCCCTTGGCTTTGTTGTAAAGATCCTTTAAATGTGGCAGAGACACCAACAGCCTTTTTAGCTGCCTTTCAATTCTTCTCTGATGCCTAAAACTAGAGAGGCTCAAAGTGAAGTTTTCAAAGGGAGTCTCCTTAGAGTTCACTGGGACCCTGGAAGCATCTCTCATGCCTTCATTTTGGGAATATCTAAACTTCATTACCTTAATTGACATGCCCAACAACCTGATCTTTCATTTTATTCTGTACACTAATTTAACAGATACAATTTAGTCTTTGTTTTCCCAGATTACATTTTTTAGTAGGGGAACTTGAATAATAATCACCATGATATGTCAAAAGCTCCTGGTTTCTCAAGGCAGCTCCACAGCAGGAGCTCTGTAGTTAGATAGGGTTGGGTTCATTTCCTGTTTCTGCCACTCACCAGCTATGGCCAAGGACAAGTTACATGATCGATGTTTCAGATTCTTCTTGTGTAAAAAATACTAAAATACACAAACACACACTCACACACCCTTCCCATAAGATTGTTGTGAAGATTAAATAAGATAATGTATGTGATGTCCCCAACAGCTCTTTAAAGCAGGAGTCAGTCAACAGACCCCATCAAGGACAAGATAGTAGCTACTTAAGGCTTTGCCAGTCATGTGACCTCCATAGCAGTTACTCAACTGCACAGTTTGAACACAGTAGCCATAGACAGTGCATAAATGAGTGGGTGTGGTTGTGCTCCAATAAAAGTTTATTTATGGACATAGAAATTTAGGTCTCATATAATGCTCATGTATCACTGAGCTCCTGGTGTTCTCCTGCATGACAGCTTAGCTTTGTCTGACCCTCTCAGCCCTGCTCCAGCTTCCGCAGCTCCTCCACCGCCTGAACCGCCTCCATTGATGCATCTGTTCTTGTTCTCCTTGTGTTTTTTTTTTTTTTTTTTTTTTTTCTCTTTGCTGTTCTTTCTGTAGCCAGGCCTATACTTCTCCATTAATGTGTTCTTGATTAGGTTTGGTAAGATTCTATCTCCAGCATTGCATAGATGTCTTAATTTTTCATAGCTGTATAAGTTTCTTGTCCTTTCTCTCAAAGAGCTTGGAAAAATTTCCAAAGGCTGGATTAGAAGAACTGTGAGAGTCACTAGTGTCTCTTATTCCAGAATCTTCTTTCCAAATATGACAAGTTAGAGTCCAGCCAGTTTGTCTTTCCCCTACCATTCGGTGAGTTCTGTACTCACAAGGTCACTCCTTCCTTCCCATCAAGGATGAATTGACCTTGGTATCTCCTCATTGCTCAGAAAGGTAATTCAAGTGTTCCACAGGTCAATCCCAGAGTCACTTCACTTTTGTCAGGAATCCCTGTGTCTCTTACTTTAACTGGACTCTGGGTGACCTATCTTGTTTGCACAAATATCTTAAAGTGAACATGCCAATTAGTGTCTCACCTCTACCTGCTCACAACCTAAACCTTTCCACCAAACTAACATTGAGAAAGTAAGTAGATAAAAGAATTATTGGCCAGGCGTGATGGCTCATACCTGTAATCCCAACACTTTGGGAGGCCAAGGTGGGTGGATTGCCTGAGTTCAGGAGTTCGTGACCAGCCTGGGCAACACGGTGAAACCTAGTCTCTACTAAAATACAAAAAAAAAAATTAGCCGGGCGTGGTGGCGTGCGCCTGTTGTCCCAGCTACTCAGGAGGCTGAAGCAGGAGAATGACTTGAACCCGGGAGGCAGAGGTTGCAGTGAGCCAGGAGTGTGCCACTGCACTCCAGCCTGGGCTACAGAGCGAGACTCCGTCTCAAAAAAAAGAATTATCACTGAATCCATATTTAGAAGAACAGTTAGCTTATAAAAGCAATAATTAGAGACAGGATTCCTTGTATAACAAATACTAATCATTTCCCAATATGGCATTCTGGGAAAATAAAATCAGATACCACAGGATTTCTATTTAAGTTTGGTTGTTATGAGATTTTGTTTTGTTTTCAAATTTCCACATTGGGAATAATATGAATTAATAAAAAATAGTGAGTAGTGCAATGGCATAAGGCTTGCTTGATTTATAAAATAGTTTTGGCTTAACGAGTAGAAAATGAGGTTTAAAATTCAACATAGTCACCCAGTTTTTATATTCTAATATTTCATTAAAGGAATTAGACATGCAACTTATTATATAATAGAATTAGATAAGATAAAACCAAAATAGAATCTTTCTGCTCTAAGCTGTGCTGCAAATTCTATAATTTTTTAGTTCAATAAAAAGAACTGTTGACTTAGATATAACTTTCTTGGTATATTCTCTAATGCTCATCAAGTAAAGATTGCTTTCTATATTTGTAGGATAATGAGCATTGGATATATTATTAGAGTTCCCTTAAACAAGCTTTGATGCATGAAAAAAATGGTTTCATAAGTATAAAACATTAAGGAATCTTTCTGAGAAGCTAGAATAAAATTGTCAATCATTTATTTAATAACTTATGTCAGCACAATTTTCTTGTAGTATGCAATGAGCATTTACATTTGGTTGTATGTACCAAAAAAAAATTTTAGGGTTGCTCTGAAGTTATCAAGGAGACACTGATCATTTTTTTCCTGTTATAAAAAGTTGCCTAGAGCTCTAGTAGAAGAAGCATCACAGCTTTCGTAAGGCAAGTGACTGAAGACTTGATCCAAGACTGGACTTTTATCTTTTTTTAAAAAAATTATGGACCTATGGATGCTAGGCAAGACCAGGCACTTTATATATATTATTCCAAATTCTTAATTTGAATCTGTTACATCATGACTTTACCATTTTATGTGTGAAATAACAGAATTCATGAAGTTATGAAACTTGTCCAATGTCACACTACCACCGAGTAGCATTTGTGATAGTCAACATGTATTCCTCCCATACTGGGTAGCAGTGCTTTTCTAAGTGCTTTCTATTTATTGCTTTGTTTAATCTCACAACACATTTATGAGATAGTTGCTATTATTATCCTTATTTTTCAGATGGAGAAAATTGAGGTGAAGTTCAGTTAAGAACTTCACTAATGTCGCAGAGTTAGCACATGGTAGACGCAGGGAGCAAACACAGGCCATCTGTTCATGTAGCCTAAGCTTTTAACTGCTACGCCAACTCCACTGCCTCAGGGAACAACTGGGCATGGCACCTACATTTATGTGAACCCAACCCTCCAAATTATGAAGTCTCTGTCATGCTAATTATCTGCATGAGACATGAGACATCAGGCACTTAAAAACTCACCATTACAGGGCCGGGTGCGGTGGCTCACATCTGTAATCCCAGCACTTTGGGAGGCCGAAGTGGGCGGATCATGAGGTCAGGAGATCGAGACCATCCTGGCTGACACAGTGAAACCCCGTCTCTACTAAAAATACAAAAAAAAAAATTAGCCTGGCGTGGTGGCGGGCGCCTGTAGTCCCAGCTGCTCGGGAGGCTGAGGCAGGAGAATGGCGTGAACCCGGGAGGTGGAGCTTGCAGTGAGCCGAGATCGCACCACTGCACTCCAGCCTGGGCGACAGAGCGAGACTCCTCAAACAAACAAACAAACAAAAAAAAAAAAAAACTCATCATTACAGAAGAGGGAAAATAAGGGTGTGTGTATGTAAGTATGTATGTATGTGTGTGTGTTTATGTATGTCTCTACATCAAGGATGTAGAGGTTTTACTTTACTTCCAGGCCTTCCTGCCTGACCAAAATTTAAAAGAGGAGAAATTATGATGTCATGTAATCATCAAGTTCATTATGTCACCTAAAAGAAATCTATCAATTAGCCCAATTATTTAATCAAGGATTTGTTGTCACTTTAAAAGTTTCATCAGATTATTTTACCTAAATTATAATGTACTCTGTGGAGTCTCAGAAAATGTGATCTTGTTGAGTGTTTCTTCCAGGTTGGTAGGTTGGCTTTTCACCTTATATGCAAATTTAAATCAAACATTGATTAGTGTAGGAGTATTTCTGATATAACACAGCATAGATGTTCTTGGAAAACCTCATATGCTTCAAAACTGTGCACTAAAAATAAAAGGACTTAGGGAAAAAATGTGTTTGAGTGAAATCATTCAATGCTTACGAGCACTAACAAAAGCAAAAAAGAAAAAAAACAAAACAAAACAAAATCCCCAAAATATAAAAGTTTAGTTAAAAGATACATTGAATTCTAATGAATACTGCACCTCAGCAATTGTAGGCCTTGACCTAAGGGGAAAAAAGTGAAAGTAGTTGGTAGGAAAGAACTATAAGACAGCCTTGAGTCTGCTGAGTTATGGAGACAAGAGAAAAATACAGGAAAATTGTCCAACAGTACTTCTACGACAGAGCATATGGTCAGACTGGGCTAAGAGGAAGAATGGGGAGCAAAGGGGATCTAGCATGCCTGCATTTTATCCTGACATTATTTCCCTAGCGATAGATGTGCCTGAGCCAATTGACATTCCTGAAATGTACAGTACTTATTTGAAAACAGATAAAAACAAAATGGCTTTTTACAGAGTAAAAAGGAATTACATTTCTTCCTTAACTCATTTCATAATCATTACTATATTTTCAGTAAGTATATTTTAAAGTGACTAAGCCTCTGCAAGGAACTATTTTAGCAATGTAACTATGATGAGAATCATAGAAAAAGATGCAAGAAATTGTTTTATATATTTTAGGGAAAATTGGTTGAAAAGTTTATCTGATTTCCTCATGATCAGCATGATGCATCATAAGTAGTGATGATACTTAATTTGAAGATGTTTAACTGCATGTATTCAAATTGTAGTCATCACACGGGAGAGTTTTTAAAATATATTTTAGGATTTATAATCCCAAAGGTTTTTCTCTTAAATTAGTTATAAAACATTCTGTAAATACTTTGATAAAAACTGAGAAACAAAATGTGAATTTGAATACTTAAAATCTCCCTACTATAGAGTTGAGTGTACTGAATTTTGCTATTATTTCAAAGATGCCACAGAATTGCCTCTTAAATCTAATTTTAAAAGATTGTAGATTGCACTCATCTTATTTTAAATAAAGATTTAATGCAGCTTATTAAACACAATTTGTGTCCAGTACTGTAGTTTTATCAAGGCGGTTGCCACCCGGCGAGTCGGGGGGCAGGGGCACTCCAATATGATTATTGAAAGTGAGGTTGCCGTTGTCTTTAGAGTTGACCTCTCTGTTTTGGGAGAATCATCAGTATGGGCTCTTGAGTTACAAAAATTTAAGGTAAGCATCCTCCTCTTTAAAAATAGCTTGAGACAGCTCACACTTACATGTAGATGCAGTCCGTTAGGAAGGTGAATGCCCTACTCAGTAATAGAAATTGGAGTGAACAATTACTGGGCTTTTGAACAAGGAGAAATTGCTTCCCAAAATGAGATTTTAACAGAAGAATTGGAGTAACCTAACTCCCACAAGGTGTTATATAATATTAGAAATCCAAGCTCTAGGCTTGGTTAAGATTGAATAACCAGAGTCATGGGAAATGTATTATGGACTATTTTGATTGTGCACTATGGTCCCTAGAGTTTTTCCTTGGCTGGGATATTGAGAAGTAAAGTCAGAGGAATGTGTCTTCCCTCTGCTTTGGTCCCCACACCCAGTCAGTAGCCCAGGCCTGCGGATTCTCTCTCAGAATTACTTCTGCAATTGATTCATTTTTTCCCCCCAGGGTCCTGTTTTTGCCCAACCCAGATCTACCATCTGTCCTACTCTGACCCATTTTTCATTCTACATTCCAAATAATCTTCTAAAAATGCAGTCTAATTCACTTACTCTCTTGCTTATTAGTTATTTAGTTGATTGCCCTTAGAATAGAGTATTATCTTGTTTAATGCGGTTTGTAGAACTCTGCAAAATCCTGACCTCTGTCTATTTTGTCTCTCACCACCATTATCTTGCTCTGTCTTAACCTCATTCATGCCTTTGCTACACTGGAATTACTTCTGTTCCTAGAACATTGGCTCCCAAGCATGCTGTTCTTTCTGGAACTCTCTTGGCCTGACGCAGCTCAGATGTTTCTGAGAGGACTAGGTTCAGATCTCTGATTTACATTCCCAGAGCACTATATCCCTCCCCTTTTTGCAGCAGAGGCCACCCTTGGAACTGATACATCAGAAATAGTTTTCCTCCTGGATTGTAAGTTCTTGAGAGCAAGGGGTGTTCTTTACACATCACTCTGACCTTGTGTCTAGAAAAATGCCTGGCACAGAGCAAGACCTTCGTAAATATTTGTTGAATAGGAAGAAAAATGAACAAGTGCATGAATGCGTGAATGATGTAGAAGACAATCCAGTAATACCAAAGAATCTATTGGAATCAAAATTATTAAAAAGAAAATGCAGATGAATGGAGAATTTATGTTAAAAGCCAAAAGAGTCTTGAGCTTTGACTTTTAGGCATCATCAAATTTAATAAAGAGATATCAGTAACATACTAAAGCAAAAGCCAGATGGTTTTGAACTTAAGAATAAATATGATGTAAGGAAATGAACACAGCCCATAAAGCCAACCTTTCAAAAAGAGTAACAATAAAGGGAGAATGGTAGTGCTAGAGAGGAATGATGGGATGAAGGAGTCTGAGATTTGTTTGTCTCTTTTTAACTTTGTGGCAGAGAGAATTGGACATGCTCACCAATTTTTCTACTACTTTGTCCTGCTTTCCTGATATACCACAGGGAAAGTTCTATAAACATTTCCTACTACAAAGTGAAAAGAAACCTATTTTAAAAGACTGGTTTATGGGATTTTATGTAATATTTTTCAATTTTTGAGTAAGGAAAACTTTCTAAGTTTTCAGTCTACCTGAAAATTAAGCCTTTTTCCTTATTTATGAAAATAGTTGTTACAATTTGTACTGAAGTATACAAACTTTATCCTTACTAAGGCAATTTGCTTTTAAGTTTTCTCCTCCTTTTGGCTACTCTTAAAAATCTGGACTTTCAAGTTTAATCTTAAAAAGCTCATATCTTTTTAATCACAGATATTGGCATGTCCAGGTACCAGGTATGATGGTAGACATTTGATACAGCTAATTGCTTTTGTGATGGATACATAATTTTTAGGCTTGCCTCTTCCCTGTAACTTTTTTCGATTTTTTTATTATTTATTTATTTCAACTTTTATTTTAAGTTTAGGGGTACAAGTGCAGTTTGTTACATAAGTAAACTTGTGTCATGGGAGTTTGTTGCACAGATTATTTCATCAGCCAGGTTTTAAGCCTAGTACCCATTAGTTATTTTTCTTGATCCCCTCCCTCCTTTCACCCTTTACAGTCCAAAAGGCCCCAGTGAGTGTTGTTCCCCTCTATGTGTCCATGCGTTCTCATTGTTTAGCTCTCACTTATAAGTGAGAACATGCGGTGTTTGGTTTTCTGTTCCTGGGTTAGTTTGCCCAGGATAATGGCCTCCAGCTCCATCCATCTTCCTGCAAAGGACATGATCTCATTCTTTTTTATAACTACATATTATTCCATGGTGTATATGTACGACATTTTCTTTATCCAGTTTATCATTGATGGGCAATTAGGTTGATTCCATGTTTTACTATTGTGAATAGTGTTCCAACAAACATACGTGTGCATGTGTCTTTATAATAGAATGATTTATATTCTTTTGGGTGTATACCTAGTAGTAGGATTGCTGGGTCAAATGGTATTTCTGTCTTTAGGTCTTTGAGGAATTGCCACACTCTCTTCCACAATGGCTGAAGTAATTTACACTCCCACGAAGAGTGTAAATTAAAAAGCATTCCTTTTTCTCCACAACCTTCTCAGCATCTGTTATTTTTTGACTTTGTAATAATAGCCATTCTGACTGGTGTTAGATGGTATCTCATTGTGGTTTTTGATTTGCATTTCTCTAATGAGCAGTGATGTTGAGCTTCTTTTCACATGACTGTTGGTCACATGTATGCCTTCTTTTGAAAAGTGTCTTTTTCTAACTTTTCATCTGCTCCTTAAGACCTGCTTTTGGAGAAAAGTGTATCAGTGCCAGAGAGTGTGGTAAGGGGTGTTTTCCTTACATGATATTGTTACATGTCTACATGATCTTGTTACATGTAGTAAACAAGATGTTCATGCCTAATTGAATTCTAGGATGGGCATGGTGGCTCACGTCTGTAATCCCAGTGCTTTGGGAGACTGAGGCACGTGGATCACCTGAGGTCAGGAGTTCGAGACCAGCCTGGCCAGCATGGCGAAACCCCATCTCTACTAAAAATACAAAAATTAGCTGGGCATGGTGGCTGCCACCTGTAATCCCAGCTACTTGGGAGGCTGAGGCAGAAGAATTGCTTGAGCCCAGGAGGCGGAGGTTTCAGTGATCCAAGATCATGCCACTGCACTCCAGCCTGGATGACAGAGTGAGACTCTGTCTCCAACAAAAAAAAAAAAAGTTCATGCTTCATTAAATTTTAAATTCTAGAGTTTAAATGATTGAGGGTTGCCTTACTTGCACAATAATCTGTCCCTGTTATTAATACTAGGCCAGTAGCTGGGTCATTATTCTCACCACGGCAAAGTTAATCACTCACTAGTAAAAAGAGAGTGAGCATTAAGTTTATTTGGAGGCTGTTTAATTATCAACTTTTGGAATGAGAAGTACCTCTTCAAGTTTCTGAGAACATATTATTCCACTTCTTGCCAAGGCCTGTCGCCAAATTTATTATTTTAATTTATTTGTTTTTCCCTTACCATGTTACTACCATCTCTACAACCAACTATGTACTGAATTCACCCACTGACCAAACCATTTCTGAAGTTACTGCTAACGTTACCCATAAAAATCATCACTAGTTTACTTGAGGAACAATCTTTTGCCTGCCAGGAATATTCTGTATTCTGTATTCCTGGCAGGCAAAAGCAAGACAAACAGGTTTCCAAGGTATCAACACTGCGTGCATCTGCTTCATAGTGTAATTTCATCAGTTGAGCAGATGAAGAATGCTAATTAGTTTGTTTATACATATGTAATTTAATGAGACTAAACACTTAACTATCTTAAAGTAAGCACAACTTACTTCCTGTTGGCTGTTTTTGCTTTAATAAAAAACACTGTTCGGCTTATTTCCTGGAAATTATAGTACCGTGCAGTACAGGAAAAGAAATTATTTCAAGGAAGGTTGACTGGTCAATTGTATTCTACTGCAGCTGGATTCAGTAGGAAGATAAGAATTAAAATATTGGGCTTGGGTACCAGCGTTGAAATCCAATGTGAATGAGAGAGTTAAGTTTAATGGAAAGATCTATTATAAACTATATTATGGCAAACTTCTAAGTCCAATACTAAAATTCTAATATATACCAGAATAATTCGTTTTAGTAATAATTCTATGCCATCCTCAGACCTAACCTATAATCTTCCATTTCTTATTGTCTTCCTTTTGTTTTTATGTACCCTTTTTTGCTAGTTATTGTAGTTAGATTTTGATATAACTGAAATAGTGGCATTCAGTTAATAAAGCTCTTTTCCCTGAAAATTAATACAAAATAGTGGTACTATTATTTGTATAAATAGTTATTTAGTATTATCTATTACACTCTTTTTGATTACTTTGAAGTTGTTCAAAAACTGGATCCCAGCCAGGCACAGTGGCTCATGCCTGTAATTCCAGCACTTTGTGAAGCCAGGGCAGGAGGATTGCTTGAGCCCAGGAGTTACAGACCAGCCTGGGTAACATAGTGAGACCTTTTCTCTACTAATAATAATGAAAAAAACTCTCCAAGCTCCCCAACCCCAACCAAAACTGGACCTGCGTAGGCTGTTATTTTTGGAGAGGAGTGACTAGAGGAGATGAGGAAATAACTTTGCTCCTATAGTCAAAATTATATTTTAATTAAAATGCTTTAGTTAATATACTCGGTTTTCTACAACCAGGGGTCAGCAAACTACTGGCTATGTTCACAGTCTGCTTTTACAAACAAGGTTGTATTGGAACACATCTGTGCCCATTCATTTGTATATCATCTCTGGCTGGCTTCACACTGCAATGGTAGGGTTGAATACTTGCAATAAAGACCATGTAACCTGCAAAGCTGACAGTATCTATTCTCAGGCCCTTTACAGAAAAGGTTAAAGCACTTTTAAAGCTTAAAGCTGATCATTGATTTGAAGCTTAAATCAGAAGAGAAGTTATTAAACAATAATAGAATTATGTTGAGATGTAGTAAAGACTAAGAAACAAATATTTATTACATTAAGTCCCAAAACAAATGTGGGTAAAATTATTAGATATTTAGGTTTTGTAGAACCTAAGTAATCATTCCCCCTATAGCCATATTACCTTTGGACCACTTCAGTAGTCTATTGAGGTAGACCGCTTCCATTCTGTTCTGGCAGAACAAATTTTCTACTCATAAATGCATAGGATTTTCTTTTGTCCCTTCTTGAAGTTCCATAAATTATATATGAGCATAGATTTTGTTTATAACTTTAGGTAACAGAGCCTTGGCAGCTTCTTCTGGCCTGCCAGCATCCATAATCTTCCTCTATACCTAATGTCCCATGACATCCCATGGGGATCAGATACTGAATTTAGCTTCCTTGTTTGTCCCAGTTCAGAAAATGAGTTGTTCATTGTTCTAAACTTATTAGATGACTTACATGTGACAATTTACAGGCTGTTGCTTATGGGAACATATTAAGGGCATTGAGGAGCATAGAAAATAAAAAAAAAAAACCTAATTGAACTTCAACTCTAAAGATTCAAATATAAGGCTGAATCTTGGATGTTTCAGATACCACTAGCCAATGAACAGGAAATTATGTTCCTCACTGAATTTTAATATAAATTTGTAAACCATATTTTGAAGATAAAAATCTAAGTTGATTAACAAAGCCCGATTGTGTAGAAACTGCTCTAATTTAGTAATATTAGTTTGGAGTTATAGAAAACACATTGGCTTTGGAGTCAGCTGAATCTGCATTTGAACCCTAGTTCAGTCATTCTCTAGCATTTGAAATGAGAGAAAACTACCTAAACTTTTGAGCTTCTCACCCATTGGGGATAATAATACCTGTGTTATGTGGTTGCTGTGAGGATTAATTGTAAACATAGAGTTCCCAGCACTGTGTCAGGCACATAGTACTTAGTACATGTGGGGATTAGCAAATATGGGTTCTTTTCCACTCTTTGTTTTTCTTCCCCAAGAGTAGGAAATAGCTGGTAGACCCAGTTAATCAAGATAATTAGTATTGTTGATGAACTGAATTCACAACTTGACAGTTCCAGTAACAAATAGCTAATGATAAATGGGTTGTGAATTGTGGGAGAATTTACAACCACAGCATCAACAAAAACAAAAGTACTGGGGGAAATATGCTGGAATGGCGATGCTTATGATTTCAGTGGGAAGTGGGGTAGTCTTTGACTCACCGCAGTCTAGATTTGTTTCCAGAGACCCCTGCAAATCCCATGGTATGTTCTTGGGGATCAGGAGTTCTGATGTTTTTTTCATTTTGATGATAATATTTTTAAATTGCTTTACCATTTAAAGTGATAAAATTTTTCTTTTGCCATAATCATCTTCATTGAACTTTTTTTCATTGAACTTTTTTTTTCTAAGTTGGTGTTTCAAATCTGAAAACATATACTTGGGGATCATTATACATATTGTTTTGCTTTAGGTATTTTTGGAAGCCATTGGTTTTTACTGTTCTGACTTTTCAGAAAGGAGAGCATAATGAGAATGTAGTAGTACAAGCATGAATAAAACATAAACTTAGATGTGGCTTTTGTCATAAAACCGTGGTGTTCCACTCTTGTGAAATCAAACTGGACCAGATGAGTGTAAAAAATGGAAATCAGTAGTTGATGCTAAGAACATTTTGGAAAAATATATTTTATTTTAAAAGTTAAAATAGTAAGAGGAAGTATTTTGCTAATATTGTGAAATTCACACATATTAAGTAAAGATCTTTGCCAAATGTCCTGCTCATTTTATAATTGGCATTTCCAGCAGAATTTTTTTAACTTGAGAATGACATGACTATTGCTTTTGCTCACCTGTCTTTTTCTGTTTTCATCCGTGCATAAAGTCACTCCTCTTTCTGTTCTGACTTTTTGCTGTCCATAGACATCCCAGTTACCAGTGTCCTTGAATTGATAGTGGCTTCTGTTTGTCAGTCTCATATAAGAACTACAGCTCATCAGGAGGAGATCGCAGCAGGGTAAGAGACACCAACACCATGTTCTGCACGAAGCTCAAGGATCTCAAGATCACAGGAGAGTGTCCTTTCTCCTTACTGGCACCAGGTCAAGTTCCTAACGAGTCTTCAGAGGAGGCAGCAGGAAGCTCAGAGAGCTGCAAAGCAACCGTGCCCATCTGTCAAGACATTCCTGAGAAGAACATACAAGAAAGTCTTCCTCAAAGAAAAACCAGTCGGAGCCGAGTCTATCTTCACACTTTGGCAGAGAGTATTTGCAAACTGATTTTCCCAGAGGTGAGTGCGTGCTCTTTAGATTTTGAAATTGTAATACTTTGAAATTGTAGAAGAATGTTTTTCCAAGGAAAATTTAAACACTTCCTTTCTCACTTTCAAGGCTACAATAAATGTAGAATATTTTCTTGAAACACATAAAAATATTCTTTTAAAGCAATTGTGTTCTTAAGTTGTGTTTTATCTTAAAATGTTTATGATCTTGAATTCTTTTCAAAAGAACACTGCAGTCTGACAAACTTTATGATTTTGGGCAACAGGCTTAATGCCTCTTTACCTCAGCTTCCTTATCCCTAAAATGGAAATAATAGTAGTACCCACCTTCTACAGTTTTAATGAGTTTTAAGTGAAACCATCCATAGCTCTTGCCATAACATAAGTGATCAGTAGTTGTTAGCTATTATCTTAAAATTAAATTCTTCAAAGAATAACTTATTTTCTGCTCAAATTTTCTCTCCTAATTTTAAAGAGCATCATACGTCCCCTGCCAGTTTTCAGAGTTGTGAAAATCTCCCTTGGCCACTTGCTCTGATTCTGAAGTTCTGCTCAAGCCAGTCTTGACTTTCTCCCTTGGGTCGGAGTCATGAGCCTGTGATTGCCTACACCTGCGTGTTATTAGGTCTCACACTTCTTCATATAGCCCTGCAAGCTGCATAGCATAGTGTCATGTTGAGATCTAGAGCACCTTCTGTCAATCCACCTTGAAGGAAACTTCTGGGAAGAGGACACAGACCTAAATAAATAGAAGAGCAGTTGAAGGTCTTCATGATGTCTTCCTCCCTCTGTCAGTCTTCATAGTTTTATATAGATTTGCTTAACCTATGAATTTGGCTGGACATTGACTTAATCAGACACCAGCTAACATAATACATTGATAATTTTTAATTGACTCAATACCAACCCTCTACTGTGTGCAAAGCACCAAAGAAACATGGACTGGCTGATTTTCAGAACTGAAAGGAATTTAACAGATAATCTTGTTTCACTCCCAGGAAGTGCTAGGGAAGTTCAGTGACTTGACCAAAATTACACAGCTTTCAAAGGGTAGAGCAATTAATTCCTGCTGTAAACAGTCCAGGCTGGAATGACTGAGAAAGAAGAAATTGAAGTTTGAAAGATGGATAAATTAGACTTAGCAGAAAGTTGAGGGAGTTTATTTCAGATATAATATTAACACAATAGTACTTTGGCAGATAACCTTTGAAATGGAAATGTTTAATTATTCTTACCACACTCTAGTTGCTAGACAGCCAGCATTGGCTAGGATAAAGGATAGAGCCCTCCTCAGGGAGTTGGTTTGTAGCACAGTCTGGGAAACAATCGGTGCTCTCATTTCAAGGACAGAGTGAAATGAACAGAAATGAACCAAAGGTGATGATGAGGAAGCTGAGATTGCTTCTATGTTTTCCCTGAATCCTGTCCTTACTATGTTGGCTTTATCATTTTGTTTGGTAAATTTTGAATTTCTGCAATGGAAGTCATACACATATTGGACTCTTTTTTAAAAAACATTATGGTTCACCTCCAGCCTGGGCGACAGAGCGAGACTCTGTCTCAACAACAACAACAAAAAAATTCTGGTTCACTTGATGGTGCCACCAAAAGTTCCACAGGCTTCCTTCATTCTTTTTCATTCATTCTTCTTTTTGCCCTTCTGACTGAATAACTTCAAATGACCTCTCTTGAATTTGCTGATTCTTTGGCTTAAGTCTGCTGTTAATGCTTTCCATTGAGTTTTTCAGTTCAGTTATTCTTTCATTCCAGAATTTTTACTTGGCTCTATTTTTGTGGTTATCTCTTTGTTGATGTTTACATTTTGCTCATGCATAGTTTTCTTATTTTATTTAGTTGTCTGTCTGTGTTTTCTTATAACCCACTAAATTTCATTATATTGAATTTTTTGTCAGGTAATTCATTGTTCTTCATTTCTTTAGGGCTGGTTACTGTAGATTTATTTATTTATTTATTTATTTGGTTGTATCATATTTCCCTGATTTTTCGTGTCCCTTGTAGCTTTGCATTGGTGCCTGCACACTTGAGTATGCAGTCACCTCTTTGCTTCTTTTCAGACTGGTTTTCACAGGAAAAGACATTCACCAATTGGCTCAGCTAGAGATTTTGAGAGCCTCTCAAACATTTTCTATGGATGTGCATGTTCCATTCCTCTCTTTTCCTGCTGAGGGAGAAGTTTCTGGGTGGTGTGCCTTCTCCTGATCCTGAAGAGCCATACAGGCTGCTATAAACTTCCCTTCTCTTTTTCCTAGGAAAATGTACTGAAAGACTAGGATGCAATACCAAATTAAAATTGTATATAAAAAATTTAGTAGTCTATGTTGTTTGTTCATGAGTTTGTAAGAATAAGCATTAAGATTTGACTACAGTGTCATGTAACAGAGAGGGCAAGACTATAGGAGATGGAAGAGGTATGTTTGGCATTAGTAACTAAAACTCCTCTCCAACTGAGATATTATCGTTATGGCAGTAAATGTTCCAGTGTTGAATACATTTGAGCTGTGTAGTCCTCAATCTAGATGACTTCAAACATCTGCTTATCTTTGATAAATACTTGTTATGTTTTTTTACTGATTATTTGTTAAGTTTATAGATTTAATGCTTAGACTGCTATTTAGTGTCAGTTGTATTAATAATACAAAAGAAGATATTTAAAATAGCATTTGACATCACAATTTTTGTTTTAGATAATCAGAATTAACTTCCTGGTTATATTTTTATTAGTGAACAGGCAAGTATAAAAATGTATTATCCTTAGAAAATGTAACATGAGAGAGGTCGTTCTCAAGTAATGGAATACTAGAGCTTTAAAAAGTCTTCTTGATCATCTAATGCAAACTTATCATTTCTATTTTAAGAAATAGAGACACATAAATTTAGATCTCTTGCTTAAAGCAAAAGATAACTGGAGAAATGGAAAACTCTCTGCATTTCATTCACAACCCATTGCTCTTCATAATATAATATTGTTTGCTCTTTTTTCATGGGTATTGTTTCCCAATAATTCTGTAAGCTCCTTCAGGCATACTGTCTTGAAGGAGCTTTTAATGGAGCCACAGTCAAAGCAAATCAGAAACCACTTACTGAATTGAAATAATTGAATTGGATATGCTTACATAAATGATAAGATCCCAAATCAAGTACCTAGTAAGAGTAGGATTTGAAGAGAATCACGAGGTCTGTAGATGTGTTCTAGAATATTAGGTTGAAAGAAGAAAAAGAAACAGTATTACAATTTATCTTATGAATTAAAATATTATTGGTCTAGAAAAACGTTAAGCACTGTAGGAAAATTAAAAAGCCAATGAAAATAGTGACTTATCCATAAACCACACCAATGATATTTTTATTAAAATTCACATTGTTGACAGCAATGTTGCATCAAATAGCAGTTTTTCCTGAAGTATTCATATATGGTATATTTGTGGCAAAAGTACTTGTTTTAATAATTTAATCAGATCTATTCTTTATGAGCCAAAAGATAATTGTTTAGTCAAGAGAAACAAACTTGAGAGCACTACAAACTATTTGCATTGGGGAACAAGTGTCCCCTCTGTGAATCAGAAAGTCCACAATCTACAATACTTCAGGTTCCAGTGATTGTACAAATAAGAGGATCTGTTCCCCCAAAATTCAAAATAAAGGCTTTCCCAAATAGTAGGGTGTTTTAGTGATAGACAACTAAAAGATTTACAAAAGACTGCTACACAATGTTTACATATATTGAACTGTAAGGAATGAATTTGGAAGGAAATATTGGATTTAGTTCTAAAATCTGAAACCAAAAATTAATATATAGAATTGTTGGGGTATGGAGCAGTCCTGAAGTGGTTGATTTTATGTTATGAGGCCCTGAGGTTGGCTGTGTGTGACAGATCTCACTTATAGTTGAATCCTGCTTATAATTTTATTGTGGACTCATATTATCTCAGGGTCAGGATATATCACAGGAAGTACAGCACCAAGGTAGGAAACTCGATGCACCAGCAGCCTCTACCAATAAATATTCTGCCTGGAAAACATGTGAGT
This sequence comes from Homo sapiens, assembly GCF_000001405.40. NCBI lineage: Eukaryota > Metazoa > Chordata > Mammalia > Primates > Hominidae > Homo > Homo sapiens. The sequence continues at coordinate 155,701,161 of NC_000004.12, forward strand.
TCTGTCTCTTATGGGTTTTGTTTTGAATTTACAAAAATTTTCCAGAAGAGCAATGGTATAAGATGAATGTCAATTTCCATAAAAGCCTATTCACTCATAATATTGGTCAAGTATGCTACTAATGCTTTGCACGGACTTTATTCCTTTTTTTCTTTAGGAAAATAAGTTTTGATTCAAAATGGAAAGCCAAACATACATTTGCTCCACCAACCTTAGCAATTGGAAGGGGACCATTTCTCCTCCCCTCTTACAATGATAGTGTATACGTTAGGAGGAAAAGACCAGAAAAAGACATTTCTGGTGGCAGTAGGAAGGAAATGAAAGACAAATAAACATCTTGACTAAAAAGGTAAAAGAGTATACCCAATGGCTTAATCAGAGACATAAAGAGGAGTGGAGTATCTCCAGTAGCATGGAAGAGGAAGAAGAAAGCATTCTTCAGTGGCAGAATTGGTTGGGTTTTCTTTCTCCCTGGCCCACAAAATGTTCCTGGTCAGGGCGAGCATGGTGGCTCATACTTGTAGTCCCAGCTACTTGGGAGGCTGAGGCAAGAGGATCACTGGAGCTCAGGAGTTCTTGGCTGTAGTGAACTGTGATCACCACTGCACTCCAGCCTGGATGACAGAGCAAAACTCTATATCCAAAAAAAAAAAAAAAAGAAGTTCCTGGTTCAAGAAGCAATTAATATATATATAAACAAATATAATTGAAATAGTTTACATTGGAAACAACCTAAATTTGTTTGTAAACAAGCTAAGAGAGTAACACCTCTATATCTGGCTTTATCACTTCACAGATAAAATTTTATAGATTAAGCCTTCAAGACTTTGAATAGCTGGCAGGTGGACATCATTCATTCATTCATTCATTCATTCATTCAATAAATATGTATTGAACATCTCCTATGGATAGGTACCATTGTAGGTTTTGGATGGAGGGGTAAGCAAAACCGACACTCTCTGCCCTTTTGGAGCTTCTGTTGTAATGGAAGAGACAGATTATGAAAAATTTACAAAGTTGGCGAGCAAATGCTATGAAGAAAAACTGAGAGCTCAGGCACAAAGGCAGCAACCCTTATTTTATTAAAGACTTCTTTTTTCATATGAATGTATTTTGCAGGAACAAATAATTCATAGCCACTCATGCTTTCATGGATTTGTATCCACATTGATACTCTGTTAACTGGAGTAACTTTCTACTGTACCAAGTAGATGGTTCTTGAAATATTTAAACATTTCAAGCACCCTGGCTGATTTACTTCATGTATAGTGTCACTAATTTAATGTTACCTTCCTTTTTCCTTGATGAGAAAGATGTCTAGGAAATATGCCCATAGTTTCTTTCTTGAACATGTTTCTCAACTGCCCTTTGCCTTTACATAGCTCACCAAGCCCGACTCAGAATCTGCCCTCTGGGTGCGTCTTCCACCAGCTTTTCTTTCATCCTGTGGCAGATAGTATCCTTTCTCTCTATATCTGAACAGTCTGAAAAATTGTTCCACATTGTAAATTTAAATTCTCTTTAATTTTTTTTCAGCAATTGTGTTTTCTTTCAATACATTTTTAAATTTTCTTTCTAAGCTTTGTATGTGTATATTTAAAACTAAAAGCCCTTTTCATAACTCATGTCATTAAAACAGAACCTTGATCTATTTTGGTTTACTCCAGTACCTCACTTGACTGGTGGAAACTCTACAAGAGATATAAATAGTTTTTAAGGAAAAAGGAATTTCTTAACTTGGGACAGCAAAAAATTTTTCACTTTCCTCTGGGGAAACTATAGAAAGAATCAATGGTTCTATATATATAATATATAGTTTTATATATATCTCTATATATACACACATATATAGTGAGAGGGAGGTACATACATAGATACATATGATTTTTACATGGAATATATAAAAATGGACAACACTGCTTATCAATGCTCTACTTTCCACTTATTTATTAGAGACAATCAGCTGTTAAGATAAATTAATAGCTACTCAACATGTATTTATTAAGTATAAAAGCTTACATACAAATGTCTTGCAAAATAAGGAAACTCATGAAATTCTCAGAAATCAATAAAAGAAAATAAAACCATAAGTATTTGATGAGGATTATTAGTTCAAAGAAAGGAAATCAGTGTAAGCCAAGGTAAACCCAAGGCTCATTTCAAATAAATGATCAACTAACTTTGGTGACAGATTAGATTTAAGAGATCAAAAAAGGAAGAGACAGAGATAACTCCAGAGTTTGCTAGACAAGAAGATGATATGAATGTATAGTTAAGGGCAGAGAGTCACTGGGGCAGCTGGGTGTGGAGTTTGTGAAAGGAACAGAAATTTGCTTGGCTTGGTCCATGCTGAGATTGAAGTATTGGCCGCCCGTCCAGAGGGATTTCCTGACTCAGAGGAAGTGATGCCCATGGAATCCTATATTGCAGAAGACCTAACACTACCAAACTGAAATCTTCTGTTTGGGTTCACACTCAGCTCAACTATTCTGTGGCTGTCAGTGAGACCACCACCAAAGGCTAAACCTGTGGGCCACAACACATATCCAATCTCAGATTAGTCTCAGCACATTGCTTCCTCTCCAGTTTGAAAAACACATAGAAAATCACTTCCAGTTTCCAAAGTGAAAATTCATAACATTTATCATTCAAGCAATTGTATAATGTGCTTTATTCTCGAAAATAAATCTTCAGGATGCATTTTTAAATATATAATTCCAAACAAATTATTATATAAGGGAATGTTTAAAACATTTCTTTTGAACTTTCAGTTTGAACGGCTGAATGTTGCACTTCAGAGAACATTGGCAAAGCACAAAATAAAAGAAAGCAGGTAAGTCAAACCACTTTAGTTGTGTGAACCTCTTATTACAATGACTAATACTGCTACTAATGGCCAGCAGTTACTGAATGTGTCAGCCCTTTATTGAATCATTGTGGTATGTCAGAAACTGGACTTAGTACTTTAGCTGATACTAATTTCAAAGTAAGTGCATCTATTTATCACATTTTATAAATGATTAAACTCAGGTTTATATGAAGTATTTAGAATTTTATAGCCGTTTAAGGAAAAGACAGAGCTGGGGTTCGAGCCTGGGTTTTTCAGAGCCATTATTTTAAGCATGTAGTTATAAACTGCTGCTTTAACAAGCTCCTGTAAGGCCGATTCTTTTGTACTAATTGGTAACTTCTAAAATATTTAACAACAGGTAAGTCATGGATCCCAAACAATCAAGACTTCCTGCCTGAAGGATGCTGCCAAAGTTTTGAGCAGGGTCCCAGCAGGTACCCCATCCCCAACACACATCTCAACAACATGTTAATACTTTAGTATCTGCATCAGGAGGAGGTAGAAGGATCAAGTGCTTAAGAGGAGGGGGACTCAGGGTTCCGGGGGGTAGCAGCTGTTTATTAATCCTTAGGGAAGTGTTTCTGTATTCTCCTAACTAGTTTGGTTGCACTGCAGAACATCAGTTTGTTTATACTTTTTTTCTAGTATTCTTTGAAATTTTCCTTTAAAGCATTTCTGAAGAGGCTTAATATAAAGTTACTTTTTATTTTTTATTTTTTTTTTAGAAACAGGGTCTCACTCTGTCATCCAGGCTGAATGCAGTGGTGTGATCATAGCTCACTGCTGCCCAGAACTCCTGGGCTCAGGCCATCCTTCTGCCTCAGCCTCCCAAAAAACTGAGATTAAGGGCATGGACCTAAAGTTACTTTTTTAAAATTTATTTTTATTTTTTTGAGACAGGGTCTTGCTCTGTCGCCTAGGCTGGAGTGCAGTGCAATCTTGGCTCACTACAACCTCTGCCTCCCTGGCTCAAGCCATTTTCCCACATCAACCTCTCGAGCAGCTGGGACTACAGGCATGTGCCACCATGCTCACCTAATTTTTGTTTTGGTTTTTGTTTTGTAGAGATGGGGTTTCACCGTGTTGCTCAGGCTGGTCTCAAACTCATGAGCTCAAGCATTCACCCGCGTTGGCCTCCAAAACTGCTAGGATTACAGGCATGCGCCACTGCGCCTTGTCTCTAAAGTTACATTTTTTAAATCTGATTTATTTAGTGAATCAAATACAATTTAGCACATTTACTGCTGACAGAAAATGTAATAGGGGCCAGGCACGGTGGCAAATCCCAGCCCTTTGGGAGGTCAAGGTAGACAGATCACCTGCGGTCAGGAGTTCGAGACCAGACTGGCCAACATGGCGAAACCCCGTCTCTACTAAAAACACAAAAATTAGCCAGGCATGGTGGCAGATGCCTGTAATCCCAGCTAATCAGGCAGGAGAATGGCCTGAACCCAGGAGACAGAGGTTGCAGTGAGCCAAGATTGTGCCACTGCACTCCAGCCTGGGCGACAGAGTGAGACTCCATCTCAAAAAAAAAAAAAAAAAAAAGTAATAGGCCCCGTTTTTGATTCCCTGAAATTTCAAGGTTTATTTGGTCTATAAATAATAGAATAAATACTGGTGTTGAAATTTGCAGAACTGAACATTGGAGTTTTACAAACCAGCACTATTGTCAGGAATGTTTTAACAATTCATTCATCTGTCTCCTACTCATGAGTGATCATCTGCTCTGTGGATCATATGTGCTTGATTTTCCTTGCTGACTAGCTGGTCCCAGACTGCAGGCAGCAGGACCAAGCCAAGAAGGGGTCATGGACAGGTCCAGAAGGAAAGAGTGTGAATCTATGTGTCTGACAGAAGCTTTGTTTACACGAGTAACATGAGAAGCATTCCAGAACACCTCTGACCTTAATAACCAGTCAAGCTGATAAGATAGTCTTAAGTCTCTCACTGTGCTACTGTGTCTGTCTGCTTAAGTCCTTGGCAGCCAGTTTACTCAAAATTTATTCTCAGGGCTTTGTGTTCTGAATCGTTCCTACAGCTTCTTGCAATACTCAGTTATGATGTGTTTCCAGCAGTGTGCCTCTTAAAATAATCTCAAAACTTAAGCCAACAATAATTATTTTTTTGAAATTTTGAAATTTTTGTTTACCACTTCCCTGATGTCCCTAAATATAAAAAAAAGAAATCTGATTATACTTTTAAATTTTCTTGATGAGAACTATTCAGTTGTTGAAACAAGATTTTTGCTCATAAGCCTGCCTGCTGATATGTTAAGTGGTTCCTCTGTGCTTTTTTAGTTTTGGGGTATCCTCTTGTTTAAAGATTTTTTACTTCACTTTCTTATTGGTAAGTCACTGCCGTTTTTATTGCTGTCAGTTTGCCAACTGCTGAACACAACTTAACTCTTTTTTGTGCTGCTTATTCTCTTCTACGAATTGACAAACAAAAATCCAATATATCAACCAATAAACTGCCCTTGAATGAAGGACTAGAGCTGCCCCCCTCCTCTTTTTTTTTTTTCAGTGAATGAGTGTTAGTATAGCCATCATGTCCCTCAGGATTGGTTGCCCAGAGAGTTCTTGCTTAGTTTCTTTTTCTGGGATCTTTTGATCACATCATTATATGTATGAACTCATGCTGGTGTGTGTGTGTGTGTGTGTATTTGTATAAGGCACACATGTGTTGGCTGGTGCATGTGCAATGCTTACACCCACTTGTATTTTTTGAAGGTGAGGGTAGGAATTGTAGTTTGAATTGCACTATGTGCTGTTTGGACAAACTAAGCTTCGCTCATTTGGCAAATTTTGTCATAATCACTCATCACTATCAGAAATCATCACAAACAATTAGGCAAACATGAATCAACAAGTCGTGCAGTTAAAACTGCAAAAAAATCTTATCAATAAAAAAGCATGCTATTACAGTCTCAATTTCTATGCTGTAAAACAAGTGCAGTAATTGCATGAAGAATAGGTTTCTTTCATTACTAATTTTTTATACAAAATCAAGGATTAAAGTTTAATATAATGATATCTGAGAGATAAACACAGCCTTAAACTAAGAAGCAAAAGATTCTATGTATTTGCTTTAGGAAAATATATAATATTACTTAAAAGTGAATTCTATCTGTATGTAGGTTTTTCTTGGTTATCAGAATTACCATCCTCTTCTTGGCCACTTCACATTTGAGGTTGCTAGCCAGGGAAGGTTCTCCTGAGTACAGAGTCTCCTTGACCTACAGTGGAGTTACGTCCAGATAAACCCATCGTAACTTGAAAACACCCTAAGTGGAAAATGCATTTAACACGCTTAACCTACTGAATAGCTTAGCCTTGCCTACCTTACATGTCCTCAGCAACTTAAAGTAGCATAGAGTTAGGCAAAATCATCTGGCAACACAGTGCACTGTAGAGTACCGGTTGTTTACCCTCACAATTTCATGGCCACATGAGAGCTGTGGCTCACTGCCACTGCCCAGCATCACATGAGAGCATTGTACTCCATACCTGTAGCATGGGAGAAAATCAAAATTCAAACTTTGAAGTACAGTTTCCACTGAATACTTACAGCTTTTGCACCGATATAAAGGTAAAAAAAAAAAAAATCCTAAGTCTGAGACTGTCTGTATTAGTCTATGTAAAGTTCACTTTAAAGGTAAATATTTCTTATGAAGAATAACAAAACATTCTATGTCATATATATTTTGGGGTTTTCCAACATTGTTCTGGATGGTATATGTCATTGCTCCTTTCTCATAAAATTGATAGTCAAGATTTGCTTCTACAGAAAAGGGAATTTAAACTATTTTCTTTCTTTCTTTCTTTCTTTTTTTTTTGAGACAGTTTCCCTGTGTTGGCCAGGCTAGAGTGCAGTGGTGGCTGATCTCGGCTCACTGCTACCTCTGCCCCGCCAGGTCCCGGTTCAAGTAATTCTTCTGCCTCAGCCTCCCAAGTAGCTGGGATTATAGGCACACGCCACCATGCCCAGCTAATTTTTGTATTTTTAGCAGAGATGGGGTTTCACCATATTGGCCAGGCTGCTCTTGAACTCCTGACCTTGTGATCCACCCACCTCGGCCTCCCAAAGTGCTGGGATTACAGGCGTGAGCCGCTGTGCCTGGCCTAATTTAAACTATTTTCTATCATTGTTTCTGTATATTATAATCTGAACTTTTAGCATGTATTTATAAGTTTATAACTTAAAATATTGAAATATTTCCAGGAAATCTTTGGAAAGAGAAGACTTTGAAAAAACAATTGCAGAGCAAGCAGTTGCAGCAGGTAATAGAATTGTTTATGTAATTAGAAAGTATGCCATATACCTGTAGAACTCACATTTTCTCCAAAAATATTCATATTTATTTGTTGGTGACTCCCAGTATGAAGTGTTCAATATTATGTATTCTGTTAACGTAAAGAGTAACTCTTTTTGATACTATATGTTTTTGTTTGACCTAAAACATTTTCTCTGTTTATGTTTACTTGCTGAGGAGTAGATAAGGCTAGATGGGAAGCTGTCTCACAGATATTCACAGGCTTTGATCTTGAACCTAACTAACTGTTCCTCATTTATACATCAAAAATTCTACTCAACAAGGTAAAATAAAGAATGCTTTTAAAGGTTAGGAGCAGTCATGGGAAAAAAGTTAACAGTATTCTCACATTAATGATTAGTTTGAGAGAAAAAATTGATATGTGACTTTGTCTTGCTGTCCTTTCCAAAGTTTCAGTACATGAACCACGAGGTTGCATCTTTCTAAAAGTATAAGATATTGATAATAATAATAATGACTAACGTATATTGAGGCCCCCCTAGGAGCAAGGCCCTATTCTGAATATAAGCCCCACAACAGTGCTATGAAGAGGGCACTATTCTTTTTCCCACATTACAGATAAGAAAAAATGTGGTACTCAGAGTGTAAAGATTAAAGGAGATTATAGAAAGGGAAGATCATACAGAGCACCCTTGACATAACTAACTCCATCTTTAAAAAAGACTCCATTTTGTATTTTGTAGGGCATTTTGCCAACAAAAATAGCATGTTTTATTTAATAAACAAATTTAAAAAAATGAAAACTACATACAACAAGATAAAAACACAAACACACTTTTCCACTATCAGTTCTCACCAGAGGACTCTGTAACTATAAAAAATTAAACCTTCAACAACTCAAAACGGTCGTCCTGACACCTTCTTACATTCACTCGTGATAAAAACTGGACATCTGCCACCAAAGGCTCTGCCATCTCAAAGAGTCTTTCTTATAAGACGGCCTGACCCAAACCAAGACTCCTTTTGTCTTCTTCACCATACCCACCCTCCTTTGTTAATTCTTTCTCCTATCTCTTTTTCCTTTTGATGTTAAGTGTTACTTTGTTACAAAATATTTAACCTATAACATTTATATTTTCTATATTAATTAAGCATACTATTATGTATCGTTTACAATACTAACTGATTTGTGGAGTGACTTGAGCCTGTGTGCCTGCAGCTCTAAGAAACAAGTAAACAGAAAGTACTAAAAAAACTGCCTCTTGGCAAGGCATGGTGGTTCACGCCTATAATCCCAGCACTTTAGGAGGCCGAGGTGGGCAGATCACCTGAGGTCAGGAGTTCAAGACCAGCCTGGCCAACATGGTGAAAACCCGTCTCTACTAAAAGTACAAAAATTAGGCAGGCATGCTCGTGTGCACCTGTAGTCCCAGCTACTCTGGAGGTGAGGCATAAGAATCACCTAAACCTGGGAGGCAGAGCTTACAGTGAGCCGAGATCGCACCACTGCACTCCAGCCTGGGCGACAGAGCGAGACTCTGTCTCAAAGAAGAAAAAAAAAATTGCCTCCTTAAAAACTTCATGTAACTCATGGCTTTTATGATAAAAAATAATATTAATAAAAGCCTAACATTGTAAAAAGACACAGACATACAGAGGCTTATTTCTAACCTTATAGCACTCGTGAAAATGCTATAGAAAGTAAATTATATACTCCAAGCAGACATTCATTCAGCTAACACTAAACAACAAGAATGCGATTTGATTCAGGAAAAAATGCTTTGTAATCATTTCTAGACAAAACTGAGTTTCATGCCAGTAATTTTAAATTAACTTCCGTGTCTGACCCTTTTGCTGCTGGAAACCCTCATAGAGGAAGATCCTCTTCATGAGGATGGATTGCTTTTGTTGTTAACAGAAAGATTGGAGGACTTTTGCCAAAATGTACTTAATACTGGAATTCAAATTATTCTTTTGTAGTTAGGTTTCAGGGAGATAAAAAGTTGTGTATTATACTCAACCGGTCATTCTTTTTTAATGAACTAGTTTGGGATTTTTCTTCAGTTACTAGAATTTTAGAAGCTAACCTAGGTAGATAATTTGGATATAGGGGTTTCATTTTGGTTGGAAATGTTATTAGCAGATATAAAGGGAGCTAAATCAGCAAATAACGCAAGTTGAAAATAGGAATAATGGCACAGCTTTACCAAGGTGGCATATTTGATATGGCAGAACATGTATTATGTGATTTCAGGAGTTCCAGTGGAGGTTATCAAAGAATCTCTTGGTGAAGAGGTTTTTAAAATATGTTACGAGGAAGATGAAAACATCCTTGGGGTGGTTGGAGGCACCCTTAAAGATTTTTTAAACAGCTTCAGTACCCTTCTGAAACAGAGCAGCCATTGCCAAGAAGCAGGAAAAAGGGGCAGGCTTGAGGACGCCTCCATTCTATGCCTGGATAAGGAGGATGATTTTCTACATGTTTACTACTTCTTCCCTAAGAGAACCACCTCCCTGATTCTTCCCGGCATCATAAAGGCAGCTGCTCACGTATTATATGAAACGGAAGTGGAAGTGTCGTTAATGCCTCCCTGCTTCCATAATGATTGCAGCGAGTTTGTGAATCAGCCCTACTTGTTGTACTCCGTTCACATGAAAAGCACCAAGCCATCCCTGTCCCCCAGCAAACCCCAGTCCTCGCTGGTGATTCCCACATCGCTATTCTGCAAGACATTTCCATTCCATTTCATGTTTGACAAAGATATGACAATTCTGCAATTTGGCAATGGCATCAGAAGGCTGATGAACAGGAGAGACTTTCAAGGAAAGCCTAATTTTGAAGAATACTTTGAAATTCTGACTCCAAAAATCAACCAGACGTTTAGCGGGATCATGACTATGTTGAATATGCAGTTTGTTGTACGAGTGAGGAGATGGGACAACTCTGTGAAAAAATCTTCAAGGGTAAGGAAAACATAATACTATCTTGAATATGAAAGCTATTTCATATTTAAGAGCAAGAAACAAAAGGGTAAAAATATATGCATCACTTCAAATGTTTGATAAAACATATGTAAAACAATGGTAAAAGAATTGTAAAGCTGTAATAAACTGAAAACAAAATTCTTTCTGCATTTGTTTGCTTACTTGATTCATTACTCCAAAAATATTTATTGAATGCAGTCTGCCTTTTAATATCTTTATGGAATGTTTTATAATGAAATTTGATAAATGTTTATATAAAAATGTTTTCAATTATCAAATAGCTGACTTAGGTTGAATAATAAGAGGTATTGTTTTACAACAAACAAAAGTCACTTGTTTCTTGTAGGAGGCAACTAAATGGATTTTTAATCAACATTTAATAGACATGAAAAAAACAAATAATTTATTTGATTAATTGTTACCGAATGTGGAAGTTAAAACATATTCTGTCATCTCATGGTAGAGAGCTTTGGTAATTATTTAGTCTCAGGAAAGAAAGTTTGCTAACTCATAGTTGATAATACAAGCAAAGCTAAGAGAGAAGTTTCACACATGTATAACTTTAACAGAAGCACCATTTGTTCCCCAAAAGGAAAACAGCTTTATTATTGCTTTTCTATCATAAAAATAATAAAATATATTGAGATGTTTAAAAAATGAGTAATATTGAAAGGTGTTTATTGTAGCAAAAAAATGAAAAACTAATTATATACATTTTTTGTTTAAAACAAAAAAATGCTATTTTACAACTGCTTTTATCATGAAACAGTGTATTTTGTGCATCCTCCCATGTCATTAGATATAGGTCTATTTGGCTTTCTTGGAGTCTTAGTGGTATCCCATCATATGGTTGTGCTCTATTTTATTTTATTTATTTAGACTGCGTCTTGCTCTGTCGCCCAGGCTGGAGTGCAGTGGCGTGTTCTCAGCTCACTGCAACCTCCAACTCCGGGGTTCAAGCAGTTCTCCCCGCTTCAGCCTCTCGAGTAGCTGGGATTACAGGCTTGCACCACCACATCCGGCTAATTTTTGTATTTTTTATACAGACAAAGTTTCGCCATGTTGGCCAGGCTGGTCTTGAACTCCTGACCTTGGGTGATCCATCCGCCTCGTTCTCCTAAGCTCTACTTTATTTAACTAGTACCCTACTGAAGGATATTTGGGTTGCTTTTGGCTTTTTGCTGCAAGAACACACATGCACATCTTTGTCCACACATGTGCAAGTAAACCTTCTTGTGGTCCAGGATGATCACTTGAAGCCCCATCTCTCTCACGACAGAAAAAAAAATTAAGATAAAAATCTTACCTTTGGAGGCTTTTTCACTTCCATACCTGCCAGATGGAGCAAGTACTTATGGGAGAAGTGGGGAAGAGAAGAGAAACATGCTAAAAGAGAAGGAAGCCAAAAAAATAGAACAAAGAAAAAAGTAAGAGGGAGGGAAGAAGGAAGAAAGAAAGGACACATTTTCCTGACTACCATATTATACAAAAAATAGAACTTCAGATTAATCAAGTGAGACCATTAAGAAGAATATAGTAGCAAAAGCATCAGCATGCTGCTTAGTGAGAAAGCCTTGAAGCAAGAGCGTTTTGCATTGTTCATTGTAAATCTTGATTTCTGTGTAGAGTATACTCTAATATACTCTTCAAACATCTGCACGCATTTTAGAACTCATAGAAAATAGGAACTATAAGAAAGCAAATTGTTCCTTTTCAGCAGGTTTAAACACAAAGGGTTTATTACTGTATCTACTTCCCCTTCTTTTGTCTCAGAAAGATGTGGGAAACTTGAATAAACCACAATTGGTTATCCTTTCCTTCATAGGTTATGGACCTCAAAGGCCAAATGATCTACATTGTTGAATCCAGTGCAATCTTGTTTTTGGGGTCACCCTGTGTGGACAGATTAGAAGATTTTACAGGACGAGGGCTCTACCTCTCAGACATCCCAATTCACAATGCACTGAGGGATGTGGTCTTAATAGGGGAACAAGCCCGAGCTCAAGATGGCCTGAAGAAGAGGCTGGGGAAGCTGAAGGCTACCCTTGAGCAAGCCCACCAAGCCCTGGAGGAGGAGAAGAAAAAGACAGTAGACCTTCTGTGCTCCATATTTCCCTGTGAGGTTGCTCAGCAGCTGTGGCAAGGGCAAGTTGTGCAAGCCAAGAAGTTCAGTAATGTCACCATGCTCTTCTCAGACATCGTTGGGTTCACTGCCATCTGCTCCCAGTGCTCACCGCTGCAGGTCATCACCATGCTCAATGCACTGTACACTCGCTTCGACCAGCAGTGTGGAGAGCTGGATGTCTACAAGGTAGGAGTGGACCAGGGAAATAATTGTTTTACCAGCAAACTCACTGGGGAACAAGCACTGTGCCTAGGACCTGAATTATAATGCAACTGAAAGGCCACCTCTGTAGGGTCTTGCAAGCCCAGTCCTGGGAGCAGGTATGGTGCATTCATTATGTGGGTGTTTTCCAGCCAGCAATAGCTCTGAATCTGCCCAGAAACAGAGATAATTGTTCTGGGAGGACTGCCACACTGTCCTCTCAAAGAATGAGGAGAGAATGGAGGGAGGATAGGGTGCTCAAAGAATGGAGGATGGGGTGTAGGACCTGTGAATAGGAGAAGTTTAATAGTGAATCTGCCACTTCACTGTGGAAACCGAGTTGAATTATTAAGTGTGAGATAATTCAAAGTATGGCTTATACAAGGAAACATTATCCTTTGTATCTGTAAGAGTAAAGACACATGAGGATTATAAAAATTGCCTTTAAATAGATTACTTCAATATAGAGTTAACATGATACTTTTCATGGCCAGTTAACAGAAATCAAAATCACCTACTTAAGGCATTTTTGCAGCTTGGCCAAGGGCAGAGACATTTGAAAAAGAAAGACCTATCTTCAAATCTTGTTCTCTGCCTTACTTGCTTTGTAAACTGACCAAGTTAAAAAACCTTTCTCATCACTTCTAAGACAGAGAAAATAATATTCACTCACAGAGTTTATATGCATGAATAACACACATTATCTCCCATAATCTTCATGAACAGGATTGTTATAAAGATTATGTTAGGTAATACATGATATTCATCAGTCATACAGGATGAGCCAGGCATCATTGTAGGCACTGGGGATACAGCAGTGACCATCCCTGATACCTTTTCTTTTTAAACGTAACTACTATTAGTAAGAGAGCTAATGAAGAGATTTCAAGTTCTGCCTGCTTCTTTAGAATTAAAAGTTTTTACTGATTTAAATTACTTTGCTTTCTTTTAGACATTGGCACTAAGAATAAAGCGTATTTCTCATTTGTATGGCTTGAATCATCTTCTGAACTTGCCACATAACAATCTGACATTTCAGAGCTGAACCCAACAGGAAATAAATAAATTATTGTGGAAGAAACGAATATTATTCATGATAATACATAAGCTCTTGTCTTGTTTTATTCTAGATGCCAGAAGTAAAACCTTACTTTTAAAAATTCCTAACAGGAAAGTCCAAACAGAGCCATGATTCCCTTGGGGAAAAAGAGGTCCATGTATACTTACAGAAAAAATAATTGGCTTCAGTTACGTTAAGTTTGATGGCCTCTTGTGGAATTTACTATATTTATTTGTAGCCATTTTCTATCTTGAGACGGTCTCCTGTCTTAGAATTGTGAGAAGGAAGTCTCTCTTCCTTGCAAACTGCTGTAATTGCTAACAGAAGTAGCCCTCTTCTACTTTTGGTTATTTCTATCAAGGATATAGGGTATAGTTTTTAAGTATCCTGACAAGCATTTTGAAACTATGCTCCTCACTGTAAGGTATAAGGACAACAGCCACAGAGTTCCCTGATTAATCTAACTAGAGTTGTAACTAGATAGTAAATTACCTTCTATGCCAGCCCTCATTTCTACTTTTTTTTCACTTCTGATTTTGCTTGAGATTACTTCGAGATAGCTGAAAATAAATATAGAAGGGTTTCAGATACACAAAATGTATAATCGTAGCCTACCCTATGAGTGCCAATGGCTTTGAAAGAATAGTCAGCGTTATTTATTCCAAGACTGGATTATACTAGGGCTTTATTTAATTTTATTTTCTCTCTGTCTTTCTTGGGTTTTTGGCCATTTTTCTGTTTCTCTGTGTGTTCATTTACCCATTGTTTCAGCGAATATGTACTGGTTATCCAGCATTTGCCAGCATGGGTGCGCAGTGGCTACAGAGCTAGAGGGTACAATCCCTGTGAGGAAAGTTCACATATGGAGAGGGAGAAGAGGGCACAATGGACCAATGCCAGATTTCCATATGACGTGACGAAGGGATGCAGTATGCACAAAGGGCTGCAAAAGCAGATATGGTAGGCCCCTAACATCAGGTAGGGGTGGGTGTAGGACTTCTTCTAATTAGCCTATTTATTGAGCACCTGTGATGGCCATCATGATGAGCACTTCTTATGTACTCATTGCTGAGAAAAAGCTTATGGGTGGCATTGCCACCTGGTTCATTCATTACTGGGCACAGGTAATGTAGGAGTCAATAAACTAGATAAACTCAAAGGGCTTACATATGATTAGGGGAAACAAAGACAATAAACAAATGAGTAAATTTATAGTATTTAAGTCAGTATAATAATGTGAAAGAAAAATAAAGTAGGTTAAGGGGAAGAAGAAGGGCAGTGGGTAAGGGGTGATTGCTATTTCTTAGAGGGTGGTAGGAATCAGCTTTTCTAATAAGGTGAGGTTTTAGCAGGGACTGAAGGAAAGGAGGGACAACCACGTGGTTATCTGCAGAGAGATTGCTCCAGGAGAAAGGAATAGCAAGTGGGAGCATGTTTGATGTGCTTAAAGGATAATGGAAGGCAGTGACATTGGAACTAAGTGAGCAATATGGAGAATAAGAAGATAAAGTCAGAGATTAGGAGAAAGACAGGTAAAGAAGAAATCTGGAGCCATAATAAGGGTATCAGCATCTACTCTGAGGGGAATTTCTGAAGATTTGTGCCTCCTTTCTTTTTTCCTTTCTCACCCTCATCCTTTCACAATTGAGGCTTTGTGTAAGAATAATAGGGTCTTATAGTTACAATAAACATTTGGAGAAGAAGAAAAATGAAGCTCTTAGAATTAGGGGGTTATTTCTGGACTAAAATTAACTATCTGCTTTTTGCAGCCAGCATCACAGACAGATAAAAATTGCCTGTAACGACAACAATAATGATGATGATAATGATAAGGTTAATACTTAGATTTTTGATAATAGCTTGATTTCCAGTGGTCTTTCAAACACCACCGTTGTTTTTACCTGCTGGTTCAACATCTTGGTTTTTATAATTGTGATTAGTATCCATTAGATATGTAATTGCTATGAGGACCCCAAGGGTCCTTTAGAAGAACCGTTTCTCTTTACTCTTATGACTATTAATATCTTGGTTTTACATTGCACAATTTTACTGCATTGATGTGACATTTATTGAGTAGTGACTTGAGGCAAAATACTATTTTATGATGAGGAGGATATAAAACGAGTAAATGATCCCAACATCTTTAAACAATTTATTATAATTCAAAAATATATTGTTTCTACAAAAACTATCTTATATGGTGAAAAAAAAGAGATGAAATGATATGATGAGTCAGTGTGCAAATCTGGGAGTAGAAGTCAACTGTTACTGTGTTCATAGGACTGTACTGCCTCTCAGTGCAGTGCCTCAATGTAATGGGTCTAAACCTTGCGCATTTCCTGAAAAAGAAAGCCATTTCTGGGCGTATCTGATTAACCCTGATCCTCCAGAAGGCCTGAGCAATGAGAATTCTGCTATATGACTTAATTTCTTCTATCCGATGTAGGCTGTGATTCTTCCTGAGCATTTATTTATAGTATGGAAAATATATTATGTCTAGGTGGAGACCATTGGCGATGCCTATTGTGTAGCTGGGGGATTACACAAAGAGAGTGATACTCATGCTGTTCAGATAGCGCTGATGGCCCTGAAGATGATGGAGCTCTCTGATGAAGTTATGTCTCCCCATGGAGAACCTATCAAGGTAAGGCAGATGATATATTGTCCAAAAGATGTCACAAGAGCAAATGCGTATAGTTGATTACCAAAACCATGGTGTATCAGTTGGGGGTTAGTTGAGAGAGAGAGAGAAAGCAAAATCTATATAGAGAACACAATCTTCTCTAACTTGTTTACATTGGAAGAAATTTATTATAGGGTATTAAATGGCTTACAGAATCATTGAGAGGACAGAAGAACCCATCTATAAGTTGGGCTTTCAAAAAATGTTTCCCATAGTATAGGGATTTTCTATTGTCAAAGTAAAATGGCTTCTAAAGGCAAACTTCAGAACAACTGCATTTTCAAAAATCTGGAAGCTGATTCCAAAACTATCCTACCAAAGCCACAGTCAGGAAACTGCCATGTTCAGAAAGCTGCTGCCTCTTCAAAACCACATCTACTATAATAATCAGCAAGATGGCAATCCTGCATCATGACTTACAAAATGAGTGATGGGAAAATGGACTCTCTACTAAGCATGCTATAGAAAACACAAAGGCTTCCACAATTGTTCTTGAGTTATAGTGGAGATTGTGCCTGCCGAATCTCATGCAACTGTGCATCTGATTTACCAAGCCTAACTGCATTTAGAAGCTGCAAGTTAGTTTAGAAAATGTAGTTTTAGTTTTCCAGCCCCTGGAGGAGAGGATATTACATTTGAATGGATGTTGACTGTTAATTCACCAATATTTTCCAAGGCACGTGACATTTCAAAATTTCTAGATGAGCCAGATTCCAGACTAATATCTCACCACACATGAGGAAATAAAGTTAACATGGTAGGCATTGGTTTAACAGATAGAATATAAGCAGATTACCTTTGTCTCACAGTGAATCTGCCCCTTAATTTTTATAGGACAGTCCTCAGTTGACTACCTTCAGAAATAAGCCTTTGAGGTATTGTAAAATCTTATCCGGTATGCTATAAAACATATAGAGAAGAAAGAAGAAATTTAAAAACAAAACTATATTTGGAGATTTACCCTTAACTCTCTTTAACCTTAATAGAAGCCATATGTTTAAGCCTTCGTAACTATTTTCTAAGTCTATTGTCATCCCATTTATATGTTTCTGTGCAACATACTTTTCTAAATTTAATGGTATAAAATCACAAACTTTTATTATGCGTGGATTCTGTGCATCAAAAATTTGGATAAGTCATAGCAGGAATACCTCGTCTGTGCTCTACAATCTATGGGACCTCAGCTGGGAATACCGAAATGGGTGAGGGTGCCTGGAATAGCTGGGATTGCAACGATTGAAGCTGGAGGATTCATTCCAAGACTGCTGCTTCACTTACATGTCAGATTCCTTGGTGGGGATGGCTGAAAGGTTGGGTTCAGCTGGGATTGTTAGCGTTACATGTGATGCCCTAATATGTATTTTTTATGAGGTGGTTCATGTCCCACTGAACAAGACTGGTGGAAGCTGCATGACTTAGTCTTGGAAGACACACCGCAACACTTCCACTGCACTCTATCAGCCAGAGCAATCACAAGTCTGCCCAGAAGAGAGAGGGCTCAGAGCCCAAGAATCAATAGGAGGAGTGTAAAATAATTTGCAAGTATGTTTTAAAAGCATCACAATATCTGACTTTTTCAGATTTATTTTCGATAATTGCATTTTTTTAGAGGAGGACTATATATTTCTTTCTCTTTCTAATTTGTTTGAGGGGGCTTGTAGCATCAATGTAAATGTTAAAAATATCTAGACTATTAACAACATTTTAAGTGATTTTCACACAAATACATTTTATAATTAAGATGTGTATGTTTGGGGTGGGGGAATTTATGGCATTTTTGTTATTTGCAGAAATGTATTTTTAGATTTTTCTAAGTTGGAAGAATTATTTATAGCTAGTTTCAAAGATAGTTACCTGGGTAATGATAGATTAGTTTAAAAGACCTATAAAGGGAATCATTAATCATACCTTTTTATGCATACTAACCTGCAGCCCTGGGAAATATCTGACGTCCCTAAAAGATACCGGTGAAACATCACAGAGGCAGAGTGGAGAGTATTTTTAGTAGGGAAACTTTAACATGTATCAGAAAGGAGCATATTGTGACTTAACATCGTCTCATTTAATCCTTATAATAACACTTTAAAGAGGCATCTACACTGGCAGACACGAGCAGTCAAGTCTCCTATGTGTCAGTATTTGGAGTCATGTCCATGTGACTTCAAAGCCCAGGCTTTTTCTGCTTCTTGCCCTGCTACCTCTTGGTATAGAATTGAAGTGAAAGAATAGAAAATATTTTCTTTTTTTATTTTTCAAACTCTATGCTTTCCTTTAGCACGTCACATGTGCAAATCATTCATCTATTCATTTATTCCCATTGATTTCCTCACTAACATCCATCCAGTCAGGCTTAGAAAGCAGCAGGTGGGTTGGTGACAGAGACCAGTGGGCTGAGTGTAACCGTGAAAGTCAGTAGGTGACAAGTGAACACGGAAGCAAACTTCTAGTACCCCTCCTTTCCTAAGCCTAGAAGCTTATGATGAGAAATGGGCTATGCCACAAGTGGTCTCAAATAGAAGATGCCCTTAGTAGGTTCCCATTCAAACTTTTCCCGGGAGCCAGAATTCTGCCTTTGCCTTTCATTATTTCACAGGGAAGTCTGTTACCAGTGAAAAGAGATATGCTCAGGGCACGATGTGTGTCTTAAACACGTTGTGTTTTAAATCTTGCTGATGAATTTGAAAAGCTCTGTAAGAAAATGTTAGGGTTGAGAGATTCAAAACTGGAGAAGGGGAGGAAGGCAGCACGGCATGGAAGGACTAGGAGGGACACTTGCCTTGTCTGCATCGTTTCGGTTTTTACGAGCAGAATATATTTACATTTTAATTATGAAACAAGATAAAAATGCTATGGTAAATTTAATATATAATAAGCTGGAGTAACTAAGTATAGGAAGAAAAACTGGTTTAACCAGAAGAGTGCTCACAGAAAGCAAAAATTCCTCAATCTAAATATGCTGAAGTCATAGTTGATATTTATGAGCAGAAGAGCTTTATTCTATCTATCTATCTATCTATCTATCTATCTATCTATCTATCACTTGCTAAATGTGTAAATTAATATTCTCCTAAAAGAGACAAAGCCAGATATATAACAGACATCTAAGTTTTGCTTGTTAAAGTAAAACTTTGATGAAGAAAGGTCTTTAAAAATAATCAAACCCCTGCATTTTATAGGTGAAAACATGATCGGAGGGAAGTAAAGAGACTTAAGGAAGCCAGACTACCAGTTACTAGTAGAGCTTGTTAGAATACAAAGTTCCTGATTCACAGTCTAGTGCTTTTGTTTGAAAATTTTGTAGAACTCATATGACATCTTAAAAGTAAATGAGTCTGGAAAGTTTCTAGCAGATATCTGAAATTAGTTATTAAAACTAGACATAACTGAATTCTTCTGATTTCTAAATTATATCCAAGTTACTGAGTTCTTGGTCTTCATTCAAAACGCATACATCTAATACAACTTTTTAAAATGGTTGAGTAAACAAAGAGTTTGAAAATAATTAACATGGTATCATCATCATTTAAAATATCTCCACTTTAGCTTGTTTTGTAGTAGCAGTAATTTAAGTGTTTGTGAATCTTTTAAGATCATCAAGTAATCAGACCTTTGAAGATTCCATTGTTAAATATCCTGCTTTGGCTAGGCAAGGTGACTTACATTTGTAATCCTAGCACTTTGGGAAGTTGAGGCAGGAGGATCACTTGAGCCCAAGAGTTTGAGAATCAGCTGGGCAACATAGCAAGACCTTGTCTCTACAAAAAATTTAAAACTTATCCAGGTGTGATGGTGCATGCCTGTAGTTCTAGCTACTCAGGAGGCTGAGATGGGAGGATCATTTGGGCCCAGGGGTTCGAGGTTACAGTGAACTATGATGGTACCGCTGCACTACAGCCTGAGTGACAGAGCAAGACTCTGTCTCTAAAAAATAAATAAAATAAAACATTCTGTCTCAGTGGCTTTCCAAATCATTGGAGACTTCCAGAATTCCTAAAATTTTGCCACAACACATCCCAGACTGCCTCTTATATCTAGGCATGGCACAAATCTGATCTTTCATCAGTATGGATTTTTAATTTCATGTATATAGACATTGTCATCGTCATTGGACTCAAGTACCTTCCACTTTCTGCTTCCTCTGTCATTTTCTGCTTAAATATTACAATTTCATTTCCTCAGTTGTAAGTCATTAGAACAGTGGGATAGTGTTTGGTATAAAGCTATTTTGAGGTAAAATGTCTAAAAGATATATTTAATATCCTTAGAGCTAGCTTCATTTGCCCTTCTTTGTCAGTGTTTGGGAAAATGATTCCAGGAGTCCAGAAATTATGTCTATCTCACTTGAATGAGAGGTGGCAGTTTCACATAAACAGCTCATATCCCCCTTGCTATGTTGCTGTGGTTACTATGATCCCTGTGCATGGAAACTTGTTTCAGATGTTGAAGACAGACACAATTAAGATGGTTTGTGTAATAAACCTAAATGGAAAAGAGTTAAGAAGTGTGACTGTTGATTCTGCACTAGTAATTTTTAATTGCATGTGAGGAGTAGAGGGAAGTTGGCTGAAGGTTTTGAGGAAAGGGGTGGTGTCCTGAGGGTGAATGGTAAAATAATTTAGACGGTATTCAAACGACACTGACGAGTAGGAAGTGTTTTACCAGTGACTGGGAACATCATGTTATTTTTTGCTTTCAGATGCGAATTGGACTGCACTCTGGATCAGTTTTTGCTGGCGTCGTTGGAGTTAAAATGCCCCGTTACTGTCTTTTTGGAAACAATGTCACTCTGGCTAACAAATTTGAGTCCTGCAGTGTACCACGAAAAATCAATGTCAGCCCAACAACTTACAGGTAGTAATTATGTTAAACACCTAAAATCTCTTGTTTTTATTTATATACAATTGCCATTTGCCCCACTGATTTGATTCATTCTTCATAACTTTTTTCTTCCTTAGTCGTAAGGAAAAAAGAAACGTGATAACTTTTATCATCCTCACTTTAACTTTTTTACACTGCTTATTAGCCTCCTAAGAATGACTTGCCTGAGGTGTTTGTGGCCCAGCCATAAATCCATGACAGATATTACATAGTCTTCCATCATTCTTCTTTTAGAAGCACATATTAATACTCTTAGTATGTTGATAGGTGTTCTGACATCAACTAGTACACTGCAGTGCAGTTCTGGCAGTAAACACCCAGACTCAGCACAGTCATAACCACAAGTTACAGGGCACAGAACCCAACAAGCCTGCCCTTAATTCAGATGCCAGCCACCCTTCAGGACCTAAGTATGCATTTAGACGACTGAGCTACAATTTTGGGGGTTCCCATGAACCTCTCAAGTTAGATAATTATCTAAAATGACTCACAATACTTAGGGAATTGCTATACTTACTATTACAGTTTTATTTCGAAGGATACAAATCAGAACCAACCAAATGAAGAAACAGTTTGGGTAAGGTTTGGGAGGGTCCCAAATGCAGAGCTTCCATAGAATCAGAACTTATCTCCCTCCAGCCACCTCAGTGGGTTCACAAGCCAGGAAGCTCCACCTGATTGAGCTTTGAGTTTGGTGTATGGAGTCTTATTGTTTTCATTATGTAGGCATGATTCGTTGAATCATTGGCCATGTGATTGAACTCAGTCACCACCCCCACTCTCCTCCCCAGAGGTTAGGCTAACACAAAACCCCAACCTTCTATCCACAAGATTGATTTTTCTGGGGCCCTGCCCCCATTCTGAGTCATCTCATTAATATAAACTCAAAAGTGATCCAAGGGCCTCATGGAAAACAGATACTCCTATAACTCAAAAAATCCAAGAGTTTTAGAAGCTCCCTCCCTGCAATCAAGGACAACAGCCAGTCAAATTCCCTATCATACAGGGAAGAATTTACCAGAGGAAAACTAGCTGGTCATCGAGCACTTTTCAAAGATTGCAGTTTTATGGACTGGCAGCAAGTGTTAACACGGTCAGAGGAGCCACGTGTCATCTAGCATCAGAAGAACCTTTATTTTCACTGTCGCCTTGACAACATGTAGTATACAGCCTGAGTCAATAAAATCTACCATTTTGTTATCACTTATCCACCTTTAACCGGAAAATAAACCAATCCGTGGTAACTAGAAATATATCTTTCATGTACATTTTGTCTCATTATATTGGAAACTCTTAAGTAACAAAAGAGTTTTTCAGATCTATACAGTAGCTAAATTATACTAAGCAAGTTAGCTTTCCTATTCTCAGAGATAACTCTTTAATAGCATCTTCTCCCTTCTTCTTCTGCATTTATTTATTTATTTATTTATTTATTTATTTATTTATTTATTTATATTTTTTGAGACTAAGTCTTGCTCTATGGCCCAGGTTGGAGTACAGCAGCTCAGTCTTGCCTCACTGCAAGCTCTGCCTCCCAGTTTCAAGTGATTCTCCTGCCTCAGCCTCCCAAGTAGGTGGGATTACAGGCGCCCGCCTCCACGTCTGGCTAATTTTTGTATTTTTAGTAGATACTGGGTTTTGCCGTGTTGGCCAGGCTGGTCTCGAACTCCTGACCTCAAGTGATCTGCCCACCTTGGCCTCCCAAAGTGTAGGATTACAGGCGTGAGCCAATGCACCTGGTCTTCTCCCTTCTTAAGGCACCAGCATCCTTTCCTTTCCAGCCCAGACTCTCAGTTGATAATCTTGCCTCATATTTCACCACCAGAATAGAAGTCAGACAGGAGCTTTGCCATCTTTGTGCTGTAGGTTCTCTCAGCAGAGCTACCCCAGTACTCATCTCCTCCTTCTTTGTTCCCATTACATTGGCCCAGCTCCCCTCCTGCCCCTGGTTGATACAGTTTTACTCTCAGTGCTATTTCCTCTCACCTTCTCAATAACTTTTCTGTGGAAATTAACTCTCTATGATCAATTTCTCTTTGATGAAATGATTATTCCCAACAGAATACAACCATATCTATTAAAGCTCTGAATTGAAAAATAAAAAATTCCTTGTTTCCAAGTCCGGCTTCTGCTACAATTTTCAATTTCTGCTCTGTTTTATAGCAAAACTGAAAGAAGTTGTCTATACTCACTATCTGTATTTTTTCCACCTCTTATTTTCTCTTCAACTCACTCCAGTCAGTGTTTACTCCACTCAAACGGTTCTTATCAAGGTCATCATTGTGCCCTGCTAAAATAAAATCACTGTCAGTTTTCTCTCCTTATCCTCTCAGAAGCATTTGAATAGGCTGAGAACTCCCTCATTTAAACATTTTCTTCTTTAAATTTTTGGCACCACATTCACCTAGTTTTCTCACTACCCCATGTCTACACCTTCTCAGTGTCTTCTCTTGGTACTCCTTCCCTACCAAACCTTTGTTGCCGTGCTCAGAGCCTCTTTTCCTGTTATCTTCTGTATCTGAACTTTTATGACTCTAACTATTTTTTAAAAAAAATCTTTCGCCCATCCTGTGATTCTCTGCAGAGCTACAGACTCATATATCCTATTCCATATTTCCACTTGGATGACTAATTCACATATTAAAATGAACTGGACCGAATTAGAATGAGTGATTTCCCACACAGACTGATGAAATCCACTTCCCACCCAGGCAAGCTTACCAATCACCTTAAAATGATATCACCATCCACCTAGTTACTCAGACCATCGACCTTACAGTGATCATTTCTTCTCCTCTCTTTAAAGAGACACTCCTTAACTATCATAACTATAGCAACAACCTTCTCCTCACATACCCTCTCATTATCCTATTTCATCTTCTCAGTTCACACCTGTATCTGAAATTGTCTTATGCAGTATTTATTTATGTGTTGATTGCCTGCCTCCCTTTTTAGAATGTTAGCTTCCTGTGGTACACATTCCATATTCCCAGCTCCTAGATCAGCGCGTGAAACACAGAAGGAAAGCAAGAAGTATTTACTGGTTAACTGTTGACTCCTGGGTATGAAAACAACTCAGTATAACCTGAGAATTGGAAAAATCCCTGGGGTTCATTGTAATGGTAATTGGCCTATGGTCCTACTGGGTATAATAGGTAGGGATAAGAATCCATGCCTTGAGATAATATGATTCTACTCTCTCTGTAGGCATTAAGAGGAATCATCCTATTAAGTAGGAGTCAGTTGCCCATCCTTTCACTGACACCTGTGTTTCTCTTTCAATGTTAAGTGATGTGTTATGTGTATATGTGCATACTGAGGAATCCTACCTTAAAACAAAACTGCTACATATAAAAAGCATATTTTCCTTTTTCTTCTATATTGATTGTTTTTAACAGTATGAAACTAAACTTTTTAAATTCTTGCATTTTGTATCTCAAAGTCTGGTGGTCTTGAGTCATGTTAGGGGGCACTGATATTAGCTACTTATTTTTCTTCAAAATATAATTCAGGATCTCATGTATTTCAGCAGAGGACCACAACATGTTGACATATATTTCTGACAACAGGACAATGCTCATGACTTAAGTCTTAGATTCACTGTATTGGCAATGTTACTAGAAATGCACATATAGGTTTTTATAGCATAGATGGTGTTATCTTTTAAATAAATTTTTTATTACTGTGGTAACACATGCCCATTTCAGAAAATTTACAAAATTAGTAAATTATAAAGTAAGTAATAGGAATAAGTCATAATCTCATTACCCAGAGATAGTAACTATTAACATTTCTGTCTTTGTTTCAGTTACGTTTATATACACATGCATGAATGACATTGAAATTTTAATTTAATTTATATTGAACTTCAGCTCATTTGCTGAAGTCATTTCTACTTTTTATAGACAAATATGATATAGCTTTTTTCCTTTTGTATTGATTTCAATAATAGTTTACTTTCTTTTTATTCTCGTATATGAGATATTTATGCCTTGCCTAAGGGAAAGCAGTAGTTAATACTGTCTTATTTAGGCAAAATATAAATACTTAATGTTAAATACTTTTAACAACATTTTAAATTCCTTTCTTTCAGAGATACTTCACTTTTCTTCCATATGCTGGGAAAACTTAAAATAATATAAATAAATTTCAATTAAACATCCAATGCTTTGGGAAATTTAGTCAACGGTAGGGGCATAATTTTAGTTTTACTCAAACTATAGTACAAGAAGCGGCTGCTAAAGAAGGTGTACAAGCACAAAATGCAGTTTTCTTTGGAGAGCTTTATTGATGATACATTAAATTCTGGAATGATATTTCTTTAATAATAAAATAATCTGTTTAATATTGAATGTAGCTTCCATGATATATTTCTGAAATACAGGTAAATTTAGGACACAGAATACATACCTATACCAAAAAAAAACCTGTATCTTCAAATTTCCACTTCCAAATTCTAATCAGTGATTCAGAATGTAGCAGTGTAATGACAGTTATACACTCCTGTTTTTTAAACATTGTCAGGAGTTTTACTTTAATTTTAGGGGATAATATTCGACATTTTGTTTGCATTCTTGAAGTAAGGAAAACTAATAGAGACTAGTAGAGACTACATTAGATCAGTGAGTCAGTGGATCCAGGTCTACTACATTAGTTCCAGGTCAGTGGGTCAATGTTAGAGGATTATGTGGTGATCCAGGGATCATTAGAAACAAAAATGGCAAGTGGGGAGGATACATGGATGCTGTCCAGTTTGTGGGGTAAACAGGCCTAGAATCTCTTATTTGTAGGACAAGTCTGAGCACATTGTGCTAGAGAAGCAAGAATTGACTTCTGTAAGAAGAAGGAACAAAGTGAATAAAGGAATATAGGAAAGATAACAGAGAATTGGAGCATTGATGC
The DNA here is from genome assembly GCF_000001405.40 of Homo sapiens. NCBI lineage: Eukaryota > Metazoa > Chordata > Mammalia > Primates > Hominidae > Homo > Homo sapiens. Next base: position 155,727,122 of record NC_000004.12, read on the forward strand.
AGTAATTTGCGGAAAAATGGTGTCTGGTGAAGAAGGTGTAGAGAAAAATGTCCACCTATGAGGACATCTGGGCTGTTGCTGCCTTTTTTGGGTGTTGCTATCATCAAGCTTTCATCGAAATGGTTTGTTTTTCTAAATGGTTTTTCTTATATATTCTGATTTTTTAAAAAGACAATATAATGAACATTTCAAACTCCATAGCATTCTAATTATGTTTGTCTGTTAAGTGTCTTTAAAAAGCATAGAAGTTGTATTCAGAAGACATGCCTTAGAGTCCCACAAACAGCACTTACCAGACGTGCAATCTAGAGCAATGCCCTTAATAAATTCAAATGATGCACTTTAAAGCCACTTCTAAAGGCTGAATATATGTATATAATACATTTAAATAGGAGATTATAATTGTCATTACCGTATTTAGTAGGAAATGTTGAGTTGCTGTAGATAGAAAAAATAATAGATAAATTTTTTTAATCACCTATAGTTTTATACATTTTTATTTATTAGACTCTTATAGTTGCATACATTTTTGTATTTAATTTTTAAACATATAAAAAAACAAAGCAAACAAGATGACACTCATGTAGCCAATACTAATATTTAAGTATCAACATTTTGCCATATTTCTTTCAGGTTTCTGTTTTATAAAAAAATAAAATGTAAAGTAAATAGATATTAATATAATAAAATATAAATAGAAACTCTTACATGGTCCCTGTTACACGCTCTGACACAATGGATCCTAAGTGCTTTATAGCTTGTAGGAGCTGAGAATATGTACTCTCTGCAGACAGTCTCCCAAATACAGATGCATGTTCAGCAGCTTCTCCACAACTCATCAATAAGATGTCACTTCTGCTTTCCAGGAAGGAAAATGGGTAGAGAGAGGCAGGAATATCACTTTCATTTAGGTCCTGCCAGATAGAAAAATAAAGCCAGAGGAAAATAGATTCCCAGTGAACATATCCATATCCTTTTAAGACTTGCCTTGAATCCACTCAGTATTATGTTTCTGAGATAGTTTCCTTGATAAAATGTAAATCTAGTCATAAATCTAGATTATTCATTTTAACTATTGCTAATGGAGTGGTTTGCTGGTAAACCAGCTTTGGAGGATGAGGTAGAGAATCCATGATTCCAGCATTTGCCAATTTCTGTGGTGTTACTATGTCCACTCTGGCAGGTTTCAGGCTATGGATGGCTTAACTGTCTTACAAAGTTCCTGAATTTTAACAATTGGCTCTCACAAGCCAGTATGAACCAGATCTAGCATGTTACTATATGTGCATGTGATATAATGTGTATTCTAGAGTATGAATGAGCCAGACTCTATCTTCTACCTGTGGGTAATTAGAGTGTGTCCAATTTTTCATTATTACAAAAAGTGATTCAATAGGTATCTTTATACATATGTCTTTAGATAATATAACTAAAAATGGTATTCCCAGACCATAGGCTATACCCAGTTTCAACTTTACCAAGCATTAATTAGCTGTTCAAAATGATTTTACCAATCTATGCTCCACCAGTAGTGTATGAAGTGTGCTATTCTCCAAGGTGATATTGTCAGACTTACTGTTACCAATATGATAGGTGTGGTGTGATTTCTAATTGATGCTTAGTCAGTTTTTAAAAATTGATTTATTCAATTTTCACAACTGTCCTAAGGAATATGTACTATTATTATCCCCATTTTAAAGGCTGGATAATGGACATCTGTGCTGCTAGAGCTATCAGACTTTGAAGCTTATACTTTTAATACTGTCTAATTCTATACCTTTTCATTATGTATTCTCAAATAATAGTCACTCAAAAATATTTATAAATTCATGACTAAGGCATCATTTTCATTAGTTTTATTGTTTAGCAGATTACATATTTATTGATGTACTGATGAAAATTAAACTGTCATTCTTGAGACAGATTTCTATTCAGTTGGTTTCTTCAATACATAGATGTTGTCACAGTACCAAAATCTAATTCAACATCATCATTCTATTTAATGTAGACATGACATTACAGACTAGTGAGTAGAAGACCATGGTCTGTTTGGGTAAATATAATAAATGCTTTTCTGTAGAAATTGGTTGAGAACCCACAGCCATGCAACATTTTTCATCTATGGCCTGAATATTAGGTTAGAGAGAAGGCTTATTAAGTTCTCATTTGATGGAAAGCTAGGGAAGCAAATGGAAAGAGATGCCAATAGCTTAATCAGTAAGATTAGAATTTGAAATAGGTTTAGCATAATGAACAAGTAGTAAAATAGCAAACAATATAATGTGGTAAACAGATGAATTTCAGGAGAAAAAATATTGCTAATAACAATTAGTAAGTAGAGTGGTGATATGTACAATTAAATCTCATTTGAGTCCTACTAATCTAGAATTCATAAAAATTCTATTGAAAGATTCAAAAGTTGTTCTCACATCATTTTTGTCATTGTAATTTTGGTTCACTATTTCTTGCCCATGATTACGTTTTATGCCCACAATTAGCATAATATTTACAAAATTAATGAATTGATAAATGGACATCTTACCTCTTTCAACTCAGGAAATCTTAATACTGTTATGGTTATGTGTGAATACTTTGCTACTATTAAATCTTTGGATTATTTTTTCACTACTGCAAATTGCACTGTTGTGTGGATATTATTTTTGCAAAAATATTTTATAATTTTTTCCAGTGTAAGTGAAATACATTAATTGACACAATTTTCTTGTTGTGAATTGATTCTTCATTGTACTTCTGGGAAGATGTCTGTTAATCTCGTTAGACTTTTTCTGTCACTCACACCTAAAATCACTGGTTTATAAATATTCTCAGTAACATTCAGTTAGTTATGTTGTGTTCTTTTTTTGAGTGGACAAACATTTATGTCAGTATTATATTTTAATATTTTCAGATTACTCAAAGACTGTCCTGGTTTCGTGTTTACCCCTCGATCAAGGGAGGAACTTCCACCAAACTTCCCTAGTGAAATCCCCGGAATCTGCCATTTTCTGGATGCTTACCAACAAGGAACAAACTCAAAACCATGCTTCCAAAAGAAAGATGTGGAAGATGGCAATGCCAATTTTTTAGGCAAAGCATCAGGAATAGATTAGCAACCTATATACCTATTTATAAGTCTTTGGGGTTTGACTCATTGAAGATGTGTAGAGCCTCTGAAAGCACTTTAGGGATTGTAGATGGCTAACAAGCAGTATTAAAATTTCAGGAGCCAAGTCACAATCTTTCTCCTGTTTAACATGACAAAATGTATGTACTCACTTCAGTACTTCAGCTCTTCAAGAAAAAAAAAAAAAACCTTAAAAAGCTACTTTTGTGGGAGTATTTCTATTATATAACCAGCACTTACTACCTGTACTCAAAATTCAGCACCTTGTACATATATCAGATAATTGTAGTCAATTGTACAAACTGATGGAGTCACCTGCAATCTCATATCCTGGTGGAATGCCATGGTTATTAAAGTGTGTTTGTGATAGTGTCGTCAAAAAAAAGGTTTTTGAATAGAAATTACATTCTTTGACACCCTCAGTTCTTTCAAACTTTCAACTCTGCATTTTATTGCATTTTCTCATTTAACTGTTAGTATATGTTTGAATATAGGCTGACTTTTTTTCTCTATTGCACTTTCTTCTTTTTTTCTTTTTAGAAAATAAGCAATTAGGGGTTAGATGCAATATGAATATAAAATAGTTCTGTAAATACCAAATATTATTTTTAGTTCTGGAAGTTAAAAATACTCTCCATAGTAACGTGTGTTATAATAATAAATATTTCTTTTGTTTGACTTTTTTAAAATTCTACAATGGTAAAAGCTATTTTAATCCATGTTAGCAATTTAATTCCTATTAATTCATTTTACTATCATAATAGCAAAGTATTCAGAATAAAAGAGGTTTATATCTTCTATTAAAATGCAGTAATACTATTCAAATCTAATTTAGCTGGAAGCAACATGGGAGTAAAGTAATCATCCAGGGGACCCACCATAAAGGACATTGGTAAAACATTTACACACGTAAACACACGTGCAGGCACACTTGGAACAATATGGACCCACTTCAGCAGACATCTTCTATTGCCATGCTGAGCTGTTTAAAGTTTTAAGAAGAAAATCTAAGTATGGAAGTAGAAAATAAGACTTGTTCTTTTGGTGGATATCTCATTTTTCTTGAGTATTTGTGCTGAACATTTTGGTGTATGTCTATGAACTAAGAATCAAGTTTTTGTCTCATTAAATATACATATATGAAGTGTTTTTATTCTACTTGAAATATCTTGACTTAAAAAAAACGACTGTTAGTATTGATGAAGCAAATGAGGCAGTGACTACATTATGGAAATGTCTAAGTATTTTTTCCGGAACTTCAACTTTTTCTTTTTGTTTTACATAAACATTTAAGCAGCTAGGAACTTTTAGTTTTAGTTAGGTCAGTTGAAGTTCTCTGGTGAACTAAAAAATCTACATTTTGGTTGGGGATAAAGATTTGATTTTAAAAACAGCTTGAATTTAAAGCAAGAAAAAGATGAACGTTATAGTTTTAAAATCAATATTAGCAGAGCCATAGATAGGCTGAGCTCTTATTTGGGGTTCTGAGAAATAACTCAGTTTAAAACTTCTTTAACTGCCTCCCTTAGTACCCAGGCTAGCCCATGGTGACATCAGGGATATTCATTACTGATTGGCCTCTAGTATTCCAAGGGTACTACTATAGATATTACAATGATGCTGTTTACTAAGTGATAACCCCGTATCTTACAGGACTGACTTTGACTCAATAAACCACTCAGCCTATTATTGGAAAGTGCCATAGGCCTTGAGAAAGTATAGTTACATCCTCACAAATATATGAAGTTAAGTCACTACTTACAAGGAAAAAAAATGTAAATACATTTTTCTTTCTGGAACCGAACTCTTATTATGGGGAAATAATAGAAATAAAGAAAATGTAAAAGCATGAAATGGAATGTAGTCTTGATCAAACATTTCAGCAGACCTCAATTTGCTTACAATCTGTACTCAAAAAGTTTATAATTCAATCAGAATTCAAAAAGTATTTTGTGTGTTTGTGATGTATTAGCATATACACAAAACAAATGAGGGGAATGTATATAATCTTGGTGAAAAGTTGTATGGGAGTTTTTTGTACGATTCCTGCAACTTTTCTATAAACGTGGCATTATATCTAAATAAAAAATTACCAAAAAACATATTTTCACAGTGAAGTTAAATCATCTGTGATAGGTTCCCCAGACCAGCCTACAAAGGCCCATTAAATACAGAATAATTTGTGGATCTTCAAAGAGGATGAACATACATTTCCATGACAGAGTCCATACGAAATTCACAATTTAGATGCTAAAAAATTTAAGGAATATCTTTTTTTCTCTATCTTATCTGCTTTGAAGCATAGCGATTAGCGAGAAACTTTTCAGATCCAGACCACTGATGGTAGCCAGAGTAGAGACCCTGGAGCATAGATTCTTAAAATAAATAAGGGGCCCAAGTCAGAGCTTTGAGGTATTGAAGATGGAAAAATAGTGGACAAACAGCCTGTAATCAGGTTGGGGATTACGGGTACTGAGTTATGTTGCCATTTAACTATTCTAAAAAATAAGACTGGGTCTCAAGACTGCTTCCCTAACAGACTGTTTCTCCTGAAAATGCAGGAGCTATTCTTTCTGTTCTGGTTATATAGTTTCCATTCATGGCTTCTTGTCCTGTTGTTTTTTGTGTCGAGTACACTATATAAATTATCTCCTTATACATATTTCTCAGGCAAGCACAGAGTTATACTGAACTTTTCTAAAGATGCTTTGCATCAAGAAGCAAAGGGAAATACAGAATTAAAATGTTTCTTTCCATTTTGCTTTGTTTTTCTATATCGATCTAGACTTTGTAGGAAAATGCAAAGCGTATATTTAAGAAAACCTAAATAAGAATAGATTCATTTACTCATTTTCATTTATTCATTCATGAAGAATTTATTGAATGCCTACTATGTGCCAGGAATATTGCTATATTTTTGAAATTTAAGGATAAAATATGGCCCAATCTATCAAGAAAGGAAAGTGAAAGACAAATGTAAGACATAATTACAACATTCTGTGGGAGCACAAAGTAGGGGACTCAGTTCTTAGAGAAGTCTTTTGGTCTTAGAGTTCATCAAGCAGAGAAGGGGAAGGACATGGTCCAGGAAAATAAATCAGCACACAAAGAGATGGGGTCTTGAGGGTGCATAGTACATTCTGGACAGCCAGTTACCTGGGATGAGTTGGGAGGGAGGAGAATAAGGACAAAAGACCATCTGGGCAAAAATCACGAAGGGGTATGTGTGTCATGTAAAGGTGTGCCATGATAGTTATTCATATTGCTATTGTAATATTAATATATAGTAATTAACTACACATGACACAGCTTTACATGACCTTAAGTAGTTATCAACATTACCATAATAGTAATATTAATAACTACAATAAGAGCCATTATTATTCACTTGAGGCACTTGTTCAAAATAGATTTTACAAAAGAAAAAAAAAAAAGAAGCAACATGAGTAAAATTAGATCCATTGGCTACTGACTCCCTCTCCAACAGTTTTAAAGCTACTAGATAAGAGAAGCATCAAGTCTTAAAGGAAGAGAATGGTATGATCAGATGTGTGTTTTCCAAAGACTATTAGAAACAGCATGGTTAAGGATAGGGTGGATATTTACTTGCACAGGTGACTGAATGAACATCTGTTTATACATCAAGGGAAAATGATTCATTTTATATCCTGGATATTTTACCATAAGTATGAGCATAAAGCTGGGATGTCTGGCATTGGAATTTTATGTCACTCTCAAGGCTAATTAGTCTTTCAGATCCTTTGGTAGGGAGGAAAGAAGAGTTGCTTCAGCATTTTGACTAACATTTCTTCCAAATTTCTTCTCCCTGATATTTCCAGCCACGCCAAGGCAAAGACTTCCCAGCTCTGTCTCAGGTTAGGTTAAAAGAAGGCATAGGATGGAAGAGGGTGGTCTGTGGTAGGCCTAGCAAATGAAAGAGATGAATAAACAAGAGTGTCTAGTCTAACTAGTGCCTGAGGAATAGACATCAGTCCTCTGAGATTACCCAGCTGGAAAACTGCCCAGATGGAGCTTTACATGCAAAGCTCCAGTGAAGTCTAGTGCTGTATAATGCTTTAAATCCACAATCAAGCCCTTGTTGATGCAAATGTTAGTCGCCCAAAGCAGAATGGGTTAACGAATTACTGCAGTGGTTTTAGGTGCATGGGTTTGACCCATGTAAATCATTTTAATAAGTAAAATTGAATCTTTGATACATATTTGTTGAGGAGCTTGTCAGATCACTACCTTTCACTGAACAGTAAAACATGGATCATTTATTTCACCTCATTTTGCACTTCAATGCAATTTCACTCTTTAGGTGGTTGTACTTGGACAGTTAAATGAAGACTGTCTTTAAGGGTGCAGGGATGGAGAACACAGCATATATGAGAGGTGGGAGGGCAGAGACGCCTTGCGATTCCTGTGAGGAGGGACTTACCGTCTCCTCCAAAACAGAAATTCAGTGCTGCAGAGACGGTAGCAAAGTGCAGTTCTCTTGTTAAAACACAGGCTAAAAGCAGTGACTGCTTAACTTATTAAGCAGAGAAAACCAAAATGTCATTTTCAACCAAAATTGAGTGTTAGAGTTTATGGTCTCTGTTATGATACTTTTCAAGACCTGGGAAATATTTGTATCCTTTAGTGAAAAGGGGAAGAATCAATTACTGAAAGCCATAAGCTTACAGTAACGGAGCCAATTAATCCTTTGTCATCTTTGTTGAGTTTAGTTTTCTTCTGTTCTTAGCACGTCAGCTAGTAGATCTTTGATGAACTGTTGCTCCTCTTTAAATGTTTCTTTTATTATATTGATGATGTGCACTCATTCAGTATTCTTATTTTAAGCTGCAGTAATCACTGTACATTTGATTGCCATCTGTACTTCCCTTGAAGCAGCTTTGCTTATTACAGCCACACCTGCATCTGTTTTGACTAGCCCACATAACCTACACATTTTTCATCCAAAGCTATCCCATTACCTTATTTATGTCCATTTATTTTCATATATAGTATCTGCCAAAATAGTAGCAAAAGTTTTATCAATGTGTAGATTTCAATCAGAAAAACCTAAGCAAAAGGAAAAAAAAGTGATATTCTAAAAGCCACACTTCTTTTATCACCAGTGCAGTTTTTTCCATCATCATAAACTTAGTTTTATGAAAATGTTAATATCTTGGATTTAAACATTGGGGTAGAAATCAGGACAAAATTTAAATGTCATATCCAGGACTTAATCTCAGATATTCTGGTAGAAGATATTTAGATAAGGTTGTGGCTGCCTGTCAAGTTTTTTAATTTTTTAAATTATATAATGTCAGAAAATTAAATCACAAATGAGCCTTCCAGATTGTGAGGAAAATTACTTGGCTGAAAATGACTTTGCATAATGCCCAAATCTTGAAGTATCTGCTCAGATGTTTGTTCCATCTGAAATGCTGCCAAATCCATCTGTATTGAGGAAAGAGCTATGAGGTAGTTTCAGAGAAAGTGAAAACAAAACAAAGCAAAACAAAAATGCTATTACAGAAGTTGGACAGCCCAATGTGTTAAGTATTATACACCTGGAACAAGAGCAGCAAAACTGAAGCTCTTTGGAAAGTTATGGCAACAGTGGTCTGGGAATTCTGGGCCTTTAGAAATAATCATTCCCAGTGATACAGGGATGTGCAGCATCCAGACACTGCTTAATCACAGTGAGCTGCCGTCTTCCCTGAATAAGTTGTATCTTATAACATTGAAGTGAATGAAAATGTATTAGTATTTGAGAATTTACTATTCCTTCACCTCCTTGCACATGTAAATTAAAGATGTTTTGGAAAATATGAGAACTTGATGTTCACTGCCCTAGAGCACTATTCTCCAACCTTTTAGATTCCTGCAATCTGTTAATAAAATATTGTAGGACAACAACTCTATAGACTGATACATGCTGCTCTCAATCCATATACTACATATTAGGACAGCTTTTCTTTTCTAAATGAGCATGAATATAAATAGAAATTCTAGTATTTTCTTCACCTACCCCAGTGAATCATCTTTATATTTTACTTGGGAAACTGCTACAGTTGGCTAGTGGGTCTTCACTTTTATTGCTTTGAGAAATGGATAAAAGACATAGACTATCACCCCTCCAAAAATGTGCATATGGCCCCATACAAGACACATGTACTGCCAGAGCTTGGGGAACTCCCTAGAATCTACTCCTAGACCACCCTAGTGAAGTACCATAGACCATATTGTCTAGATGGGACAAAATAATAAATTTTGACTAAGAACTTACTGTTTAGAGAGAAAAAATAGTAAATAATGTTCAAAATGAGAAGACAATAACTGACAAGTCTGTGATTTTTGGGTTAGATGAGACCACTTTTGATTTTTGAGGAATAAAAGGAGTTAGTTTTTTGGTCCTGATGTGTAAAATGATTCATGGGGTTTCACATACAGACAAGTAGTTTTCTTTTCAGCAAATATTTAACATATCTCTCAATATATTTTTCACCAGTTTTTGGTAAATATGCATTGCTATAGGTATACCAAGTTTTTTTTGTTATGTTTAGTAACTAATTTCATTTTTTCTGTATATGTAAATATAGCTATTGGACCCTGCATTGAAAACCTTCTTAGTACTAACAACACTCCTTTTATTATTACCTTCATAGTTACTTTAAATGACATATTTATTTCGAGTTTTACTTCTGGCTGAGTTGCAAAGTCTATGAGAATGTTACCTCCTGTCTCAGAAGCTTGTTAGTTATTGTGCCACCTAAATATTGTAATAAAAGTGTTTAAATAAAAATCTTCTTAAAATTTAAAATGAGTTATGTTTAAAAAGAAAAATGAACTTTATATCAAGGAAAAACACCATTGTCCCAAGTTATACGAATATATTTGCTTTGATGTAGGTCTTGCTACTAAAGAGAGAGAAAACTTCCAACGTAACAGTGTGGAAAACCAGGATTAACAACTATTATGTCAGGCATTTGCTCTGTACAGGTCAATGTATTCAAATCCCTTTTCAAAAAGTTATTGTTAAATAGTGTACTAACATAATCAAAATACATTTATTTCTAAAGCTCCTATTTCCAACAAAACTCATATTATACATAAAATCACAATTGTTTTAAAACCTAAATTAAAAAAAAATTTATTTCTATTTATAAAAAACAAAATTAAAAAGTCTCAGTTTTTCAAATCATATATAAAGTCAAACTTTTTAGAAAACACCAACCGTAGAAATAAAACTGTGCTTGGCTTATCCAAGTGTAGTGGCTTATAACAGAAACTGGGGGATAAATGTGTCTCCATTGCACTCTGTTGGGAGACAGTTTTCTATCGATCTCCTGAATGTTATAGAGGGCAGGGGTACCTACTGCCTTTGTTTAATATTATCTTTTCAAAGATGTCTGTATAGCAAGCAGCCTTAGAAGACAGAGATAATGTCTCTCCCAAGAACAAAGAGCCGCCAGGCTTACTGCCCATTATAAAAGATTTGTGTTCCTAAACTCAGGATGTATCTTCTGGCGTGCAACTCACTGTGTGCAGGTGTAGTTTATTTGTTTTCACATTGCTGTGTGTGACCCAGTGAACCAGTGCAAGATAACGCTGATACCCTTGGTCAGGTGCTATAGTTGTGTGAGTCAGTGAAGTTCCCTTTCTCTGACCCAGGAGTCACGTCTTCTGCCAGCATCCATGAAATTGTGGCAGTCTAGCTGTTTAACTTGCAAGTAGAGTAAAATCTCAGACCCTTCACAATTATTGACAGTTTGGAAATGAGGTTGGGATGCTGACAGAAACTTGGCTTCCTGGAAGAGAAGAGTAAGGGTATTGTGAGCTGATTAATGGGATTGGAGGAAAAAGTTCATGGGAATCGATGGCAAATGTGGTAACCAAATTATAAATCAGCAGAGTGAGAAATGGTCCCCAATTTTATCACCTGCTATTGAGAATGAATTCAGAAAACATTGCATCTCAAGCATCAGAAAGTAGGTTCAAAAGCAGTGGCCTAAACAGTGGCTTGGTTGTTAACTCTCACTGGGTGAGCAGATTCTTCCTCCACTGGGTGTCAGCCTCAAGTCTACTCCTCAAGCCTCAAGTCAATGAGATAAATGATTGAGGTTAGACCTGTAGCCCTGGAAAATTCTTACAGGTCATAACATATAACCATCCTGGGTTAGAGGAAGGTTCTGACCTTCTTCAGACAAGAGTTACAGATATATCCATTTTAAAAACAAAAATTAGTCAAGTAATTGTTTTAAATGGACAAATAAAAATTGTACATATTTTTGATAAACAACATGATCTGTTGATATATGTATACATTGTGGAAAGGCTAAGTCAAGCTAATTTACATATCCATTGCCTCACACACTTTTTTTTGGAGAGAACATTTAAAATCTGCTCTTGTAGCAATTTTCCAATATGAGGTACATTGTTATTAACTATAGTCACCATATTGCACAATAGATCTCCTAAATTTATTTCTCCTAAGTGAAATTTTGTATCCTTTGACTAACACAGTGTACATTTACACTGACCACAAAGAAGAAAATATATGGCCCCTATGAGCAGAAACTGAGTAAGCGATTAGAACTTGGCTAGTTCATTTGAGAGATGAGGGCAATAGATGCATAACACTTGTTGAGGAAGAATGGCAACAGCTGGGAAGCCTTACGGCTGAGCCCTTCTTGCAGTCTTTCATGCCAACCTTGGATTCTTTCAGAGATGACAGTTAAAGGTCTCAGAGTGTTTTTCAGTAGGTCCTGGCTCCAATGGGAGTTTTGTCCCTTTTGGAGAGATTTCTCTGGAGCTGACAAACTTCCACAGGAAAGCATACATAAGGCATTGTTATGTTTTCAACTGTCCCCACAGAAGTCATAGCCTCAAGTACCTTAGAGTGTGTCTTTATGTGGAATAGGGTCATGGCAAATATAATGAGGTAAGTTAAGATGAGGTCATACTAGAGCAGGGTGGGCCACTAATGCAATATACCTGGTGTCCTTATACAAAGGAGAAATTTGAACATAGAGACACACAGGAAAAACATCATGTAAAGATGAAGGCAGAGAGTCAGTGTTACGTAGATATACCCAGAAATACTAAAGATGTTCAGCAAACCTTTAGATGCTAGGTGGGAGGCATGGAACACGTTCTTTCTCAACAGCCCCCAGAAGCAACCAATGATGGTGACACCTTGATCTTGGACTTGCAGCCTCCAGAACTAAGAAACAATAAATTTCTGTTATTTAAGTCACCCAGGCATTATGGTTCATTATCAAGGAAACCCTAACAAACAAATACAGGCGTTGACTAATCTTTGGGCTTTTAATGCCCCTGAATTGGGTATGCAACACTGATGAAAGCGACTCACTGGAGAATGAGAGACTGACAGTGTAGATAAATTGCTGAGGTCAGACCTGTAGCCTTGGAAAACTCCTATAGCACTTGCATTTAAATTGGACAAGAACTTAAGTATATTTGCTTGATAATGAGGCACCAAATGTCTCAGATTAAGGTGCATCCCTTTTTAAAAAATTATCCCTGTGCCAGTCAATCCCATGTCAGGTGATGGGTAGAAATCCATGCCCACAGTCGGAATACAATGCTGCTATGGCTGCTTGGTCAAGGGACCCCCAAAGCTGAAACAGATGGTGTCAGTTATGAGCAATCTGCCACCTATTAGAGTGTTGGGCAGGTTGAATACACTGCAAGTTCATTTGGTTGAGCTGCCTCTGTGTGCTCATAACTAAAAGTAAGTGCTCCTCCCTTATTGGTGGAAAGCTACTCTCTACATCTTACACCTAACCCATCCCTCTCTCTCTACTCTGATCTCAGCTACTTTAAGGAGATAAATGATTAGAGGTGAGGTCAGGCTCTCCCTGCCTCCAAGTGGAATCAAAGGCCAAAAGCAACTGCCCAAGTATAGCTGGGGGCAGAGATTTTGGGGAGGGGAGGGAATCATAATTTTATGCCTCTGTTGTATACTGACACCCAGGGCCCTTGTCAGAATGGGACACACAAACTTTCCATTAATAGAGTTTGGTCAGAAATTAGAGTAGGGAAAGGAGACAAGTGTGACCTTCTGTTTGTGGTCTTTTTGGCCAATACAGTGTATTATTTTTTGTCATATCCATGTCTGAATATACATTAGAAATTGAGGTGCTCACACTGCCTTATCCAGGAAGTGGTGGAAAATTCTCCTGATCAGTAACAGCAGTAAGTAGATAAATGCAAGCACCAAAGGGGCCCCACAACCCTCATGACCTTTCTGAGATACAAGTTTCCATGTCTGATAGTCTTGGTGATTGGAGCCTCTGATAAAGGGGGTCAGCCTTCACCCAGAAGTCTTTGTTGAGGTCTGGACTCATCACCTCCTTGACACAGCTGTTAAATCACTTTGATGTAAAGCCTTTTTGGCTTGCTACTATGCTCCTTCAAAACAAAATACCTGACCCATAAAAGTCTTGAGACTCTCCAGCCTGATATTTTCATTTTGGGTGGGTTGACTCAGACTCAATGATTAATAAGATGGAGAGGGCCTGACAATCCCTGCTTGGTAAGTGGAAATAGTATATTCAAGAATGCAGCTATCCCACTGCCAGCAGCACCTTGTCTTAACATAAAAAGTAGCTGCTATCACTCTGGGGAAACCTTTATTCATCACTTTGCCATTTACAGCAAAGCTGCTGGCTCAATGGGACCTTCAACTCAAGATTTTTCTTGTGTGTCCGTGCCTCTTTCCCTGATGGTTCAGCTAACCTGAAACCCAACTGTGTCCTATTTTTACTTATTCTTAGGTTGTTGCTAATGTCCTAGCTGTTTGGTCTGCTATTTGGAATACTACATATTGGTAGATTGAAGGCACCCATTTTGGGGATCATGAACTCTGGAAACAAACTGCAATTGATTATGTCTGTATTATTCATGTAAATTACAATGGAAAGGACCTGTTCCGTAAGGACACTGGCTGGATCATGCTGCCCAAGTGGTAGTACAGCTTGAACAGCAGCCTGGACCTGTTTCAGTGTCTTTTCTTGTTCTAGGCCCCACTCAAAACTAGAAGCTTTTTGGGTTGCTGGATAAATGGGCTAGAGCAACATATCCCAATACGTTGTCTGCAGAATCCAAATAGACCCACTAGGCCTTGTGCCTCTTTCTTGGTCATAGAAGGGGCCAAATGCAATAATTTATCCTTCACCTTGGAAGGAATATCTTGACACGCTCCACTCCACTGGACCCCTAGAAAGCTTACTGAGATAGAACGGCTCTGAATTTTAGTCCAATTTATTTCCCACCCACTGATACACAAATGTCTTACCAATAAGTAGAGAGTGGTTGCTACTTTTGGCTCATTATGTTCAATCAATATAATGTCATCAAAGTAATGGACCAGTGTAACATTTTGTGGAAGGGAAAGGTGATCAAGATTTCTGGAAACTAAATTATGACACACAGCTGGAGAGTTGATATAACCCTGAAGTGGGAGAGTGAAGGTGTATTGCTGTCCTTGCCAGCTGAAAACAAACTGCTTCTGGTGGGCCTTATAGGCAGGTATGGAGAAAAAAGTCATTTGTCAGATTAATAGCTGTATACCAGTTACCAGGAGATGTGTTAGTTTGCTCAAGCAATCAAACCACATCTGGTACAGCAGCGGAATTGAAGTAATGACCTAATTAAGCTTAAGATAATCCACTGTCATTCTACAAGAGCCGTCTGTCTTCTGCACGGGCCAAATAGGAGAGTTGAACAGGTATATGGTGAGAATCACCATCCACTGTATCTTTCTTCTTTATATTGGCACTAATTTTTCTAATCCCTCCAGGTATGTGGTATTACTTTTGGTTTAGTATTTTCCTAGGTAGAGGAAGTTCCAATGGCCTTTCTTACCAGGTCTTCATTCCATAGGTTAGGGAACCAATGTGGAGCTTCCTCCAGCTATTAATTATGTATATGCCAATTATGCATTCTGGAACTGGGGAAATAACCACGGGATGGGTTCAGTGACGAAATGGACCCATTGTGATTTAAACCTGAGCTAAACTCCATCGAACACCTGACTTCCATTAGGACATACTCTAACTAAAGGACCACAGTGATCTTTCAAGGCTCTCAAATCAATATCAATATCTCCTTCCCCAGAAGGTCTGATGATTTCCTTTTCCCCATTGCACAACTACCCTGGTAAAAGGCTGGAGGTTCCTTCGGGGAAGAATGAGAGAAACATTACCAGTGTATGTTTTTGATGGTATACTAAGTACATCCTCAAGGGGGCCAAGCATTCCCTTCATTCAAGGGGCTCTGACTTTGTAAACTGGCTCAAATCTGGGAATTGATTGAGGCCCATGATTCTCTGTTTTTAAGATTCAAGTTAAACTTTTGTTTGCTTAACCTGAAAATTTTTGCTTACATATGTCAGGTAAGAATTTAGTAGGCTTCCTATCTATTTCATTTATAAGAACATCATGATTAAGTAGCCAATGTTATATATATCTACATGAGTCACACTATTCTGATGGATGCTTTGACTCTGCTCTCTATTAAGGTTACCACATCTACTTTGCTCTTGGTGGTTGAGTTCTGCCACTTGGTCCCTGTCACTCCAGATTTTATTACCCTCATTGTCTGTAGGTTTCTTAATTCAGTGACTGCAGATCCCAAAATAAGGCCTGGCCTACAGAAAAGAGAAATTACGGAGCCCTTCAAAGATGCCAGTGCTGCTCTCACAAATTTATTTCTCACAGTACTGGCGAAAGGTATGTCTTCTGGACACCACCAGTGTAAGTGAGTAGGTCTTACACGACAAATCCATTCTAACATTTCAACCTCCCTAAGCCTTTGAATCCCTTCTTCTACATTAAACCAAGGAATGTCTGACATTTCCAGTTCACTCTCTGTGGGCCATCTTGTGGTCCATGATTCAGTCAACCAACCAAAGAAACTTTTAGAGCCTTTTCTAACTCCTTAAGCTGCGACACTAAATGCAGAATCTCTGCATAGCGAGCCCATGTCAATAAATTCAGCCTGATCCAACTGTACACTGATTCTACCATCATCCCACATGCTTCATATCCATTCTCACCATATTCCCTGGATTTTTGTCTGCATAAGTTAGAAAACAAAAGTGGTTCTTTTAGAGTGTGATGCACATCCTCATGGGTCATATGTTGTACCTCACGTTCAGAGGCCTGCTAAAACTAGAGTCTAGTTATAGGTCTAAAAGGAAAGAGGGATGGTTCGGATGGGCCCTGAGAAGAAACAGCATTGTCTTGCATAGCAATGCTTCAGAGAGACTATTACCATTTTGTCAGGTAATGCAGGGTTAACCCCTCAGATAAGGATGGAAAGCCCAATACAACTGGGGGTGAGGATGCCACTGTCATGGAGGGCTGGGAGGCCACTTTGCCAGGGGTTAGGGAATTAGTTCCACTGGGGCTGGGGAGGCCGCTTTCAGTGGGGGTTGGAAGACTTCTTCCACTGGCAAAGAAGACTCATCAGAATTTAGGGACTCAATGTCTCCAGCTTCATCAGGATCTTTGCTCATGTCTTTATCTTTAATTTACAGAATCCCATTCTTTCCAATTGATGCCCTCACTTTAGTGTAGAAATCCTGCAAAGCTGGAAAGTCAACTTCATTGTAATTTAGCCAGTTGCAGAATGAGGTTTTGTGTTTAATTTTTAGCAGTTTCAGTCCTGTGGCTACAGGAGATAAGCGTCTTTTTCAGGGTACCCATAGAAGCTATTTGATTATTTATACGGCTGAGAATTTGAATCCCTGAGCTCATTCTTTTTTGGTGCAACTTTTCCAATGACATTAGGACAAACCAGTCTATGTCGTTATATGCATTAGTTTTCCAGAAACTTTCAAAAATACCGTATACAAAGTCTCCCACCTCCTTACTTCTTATTAGTGGCTCACTGGAAGCATATAGTGCAGGTATTTTGCATATCTCTATTGCCAGATCATGCCACTGACTATCCCTGCACTCTTTACTACTGGAAATAGAGTCCAGTATCTTTAAATCTAATCAGATTAGAGAGCCAGTTCCATAAACCTTGGAATGAATTCAGAAAACTCATCCTTAATATGTTCCTTTAGAGGCAGTCTCAGTACCAAAATCTATATTAGAGTTTTCCAAAAATATGTATTATTATGAGAAACTGGCTCAGGTAATTATGGAAGCTGAAAAGTCCCACAATCTGCTGTCTGCCGGCAAGCCAGAGTCCCAAGAAAGCTGGTGGTATAATTCAATCCAAATCTGAAGAACTGAGACTGAGGGGAGTTTATCTAAATCCCAGTCCAAGGGCAGGAAACAATGAGATGAGATGGTGATATAGTTTGGCTCTGTGTCACTACCAAAATCTCACCTTGAATTGTAATAATCCCCGCATGTCAAGGGTAGGATCAGGTGAAGATAATTAAATCATGGGGACAGATTACCTCACACTGTTCTCATGATAGTAAGTGAGTTCTCATGAGACCTAAGGGTTTTATATGGGGCTCTTCCCCCTTTGCTGAGCACTCATTCTCTCTCCTGCTGCCCTGTGAAGAGGTGCCTTCCGCCACAGCTGTAAGTTTCCCAAGGCCTCCCTAGTCCTGTGGAACTGTGAGTCAATTAAATCTCTTTTCTTTATAAATTACCCAGTCTCAGGTATTTCTTCATAGCAACGTGAGAATGGACTAATACAGAGGGTCTAGCTCAGGCAACGAGGGAGAAAAAAAGACTGAATTCTTCTTTCCTCTGCCTTTTGTTCTATTCAGGCTTTCAAATGGATCAGGTGATCCCTACCAAGGCAGGGGAGGGCAATCACTCCACTGAGTCCATCAGTTTGATGCTAATCTCATTCAGAAACACCCTCACAAACACACCCAGAAATAATATTTAATCTGGGCACCCTGATGCCAAGTCAAGTTGACACATAAAAGTAACCATCATATGAAGGATAAGAGATCTTCAAGTGTCTTCAAGGAAATCCCAGCAGTAGATCATGATACCTGCATGAGACTATGAGATGTTTTCAAAGGGAAGCCATCCTTGAACTCTAGAGAAGCTTCCTTGAGGAATAACTAATTAATCATTTATGCACAAAATGCAAGCTGTTATCCCTGTGATGGGAATCACACAGTTAAAAATTTTCCCTTTTAGCTGAAGGGATTAAATATACCACCTTGTCTGCCAAAGGCATTCAGCTAATACACAACTTGCTGGCCAGGGTCCTTATGAATGATAATAAAATCACCCTAGACTTTCCCCTTGCAGGCCAAGGTGGAGTCTGTGTAATTGCAAATACACCCTGCTGTATCTGCAATAATGCCTTTGGCTAAGTGGAAAGATCGCTAGAGAAACTTGAGGAAAAACATACCTGTTTTTCTAAGGTAGACTTGGTGGTTTAGGGATTAGTTCAGCTGGTTGAGTCCAGGACTGGATAAGATGGTGAGGCAGGGCATGACAGGTCAGTTTTGCAGGTTGGCCTCATTCTACTGCTTGAAGTCCTGTTGATAGTAACTGCAGTTAAATGCTATATAAGCCAAATTGAACAGATTTAGGCCCAGCTCTCCTGATCAGATTAATCAGAGTGCTGATGGACTGATGTATCCAAGGGAAAATTCTCCAGAAGACAAGATGGTGTAGAAACTAGGGGAGAATACTGTTGGGAGGTGGTCTCTCATATTTATGCATGTCTTATGAGCAGAGGTTCTGAGTGTCTTTGTTCTGCACTAGCTTTCCTGGGGTGTTTGTACAGCAAATCGTCTTGGAAGATAGAGATAGTATTTCTTTCTGGAGCAAGGGGCAGGCACGCTTACTGTTCAGTATAAAAGATTCATGTTCCCTAAGTTCAGGGTTCCTCTCTTGTGATGTAGCCTACTGCATGGACAGGCGTTACTTGGACCTCTTTTCATCACCCTGTGGACTTGGGACTCAAGAAACTGGCTACTCTGGCTATTGCTGTTGCTGTGAGTAATACATTCTTTACTCACTGACCCAGAAATCTTACGGTTTTTGCCAGCATTACAAAATGCAGCAGGCTAACTTATTAACTTCCAAGTAGGATCAGGTTATCATGCTAACATTTTTAAATCATATGATTTCACAAAGAAATCGAGATCACTCATTGTATGCAGCATCACTTGTCCCACAATGTCTCTACAATGAACCGTTGTCCCTGAGTGGGAGCTGCCTCATTTGGGTGGGGTAAATATTCATGATCTACTGCATTCCCCAACGCTCACTTTTACCTCAAATCCACCCAACCTGCCTCATCACTTTATATTACCTGCTGAGACCCATGGTCTTTGCATGCCTAGTTAGTACAGCAAACCTGCCCTATGAAAATTAATGATAAAACTAAGTGTGAATGTTCACTGTGTAAAGTCTGTCCTGTAGAGAATCCTATGTTCTGTAATAGGGTTCTATTAAATTACTTGCCTTTGTTCATATAAATGCGATTTGATTCATGGTCATAAGAACTGTATGTGGCTGTCAGGAATACAGTTTCTATAAAGTGAAGTTCACTTTAATACCGTTCTCCCACAATGCTGATATGCGATAGCTGTATGTATTTTGTGGATGACACAGTAGTGGTGGGTTTGCATCTGAGCTGGCCCAGTGACACTGACATTAATAGCCATGGGTTGAGTCCCCAGAGAGTCTTTCAGTCAGCAGTTCAGTAATTGTGACTCCTTCTGAGCCCTCTTTCTGATGATTTTGAGAGCAGGTAGAGTCTCAGCTCATACCTTTGCCTCCTGTTCACAGAAAGAGTAACACTCTTGAATAGAACCTGGTTTCTTCACACAAGGGCAAGGCACAGCCCCTCACCTGTTTGGATGGATAGAGTGTGGGATAAATAATTTACTCAGCTTCTTGCCCTAAGACGGATGTTCATGGAAGCAGAGTTATCATCACAGTAAGCAATCTTCAGCCTGCAAGGTCCTGAGCTGGTACTGTGTCTTTGAAAGTAGCCTAATCTTTCAATAAACAAACTCAAAATTTGAGTGACTCACAGGAGCAGTTCCTTTCTCACATATTATCTAAGGATGAGGGTGATGAGGGCTGAAGCTCCACCAGCCACTCATGACCTGGACCAACAGATCACTCTCATCTTCAATGTCACCTTGAGTATATATATCTACTGGGCAGTTGGAGAAGGAATCTTGGGGAGTATGTGTGGCAAATTTTTAAGTTCAGTCCTGGAGGACACACGTATTCCTTCTGTTCACATTCTCTTTCCTTGAACAAGTGACACAGCCAACCTCACTGCAAGAAAAGCTAAAAGAAGATTGGAATGATTTGCATTATCAGTACAATTCCTGCTACAAGTAATTTACTGAGAGCTAACTCAGTGTCAGGCAATGTTCTACACTTCATGGTACACATTATTTGAGAGTTTCACATAATCATGAGACTGAAAGTTTTTGTCTAGACTAGGCCCATCTTGAAGCCTGGGAGCAATGTAATCCTGAGTTTAAGTGACAGTAAAGGAAGAATCAATGTGGCAAGCCATCTGAGCCTGCATGGGGAGAGTCTGAAGTCCCCTCTTCGTGCTCCCAAATCAAGAAAACCCTGATAGTGCTCCATGGATTGTGTCCATCAATTACTGAGCCTGGTGAATCAGAGCTAGAATCCTTTAGCTACAGGTAAAGATGAAATACACCTGAGTTGAGAGCAATACATGCTCTACCTATTATAAACCTGAGTGGTTCCAGGTGGGAGAGGTAGAGCAACCCCCCCCCCCCCCCCCCGCCCACAAAAGGACATACCAAAATAAAGAGGACTTTTATCACCTGGCAAAGGCGGCAGGGAAATATCTCTTACTGACAGGTAAAAAAAAAAAAATGTGGATAGAGGGTGCCACTTCTCTTTGGCTGCAGTGTGGGATGAGAAGAGACTTCAGAGTTCCCGCCTATCTCCCATCTTTAGTTTAAGGGAGAATAAACCGAGTTCTGGACTATCAGTTCTTGCAATCTGGTTACCTCCCACCCTCCATTTCCATACCAATGGTAGCTTCTTCCCAGGAGGAGTTTTGCACTAAGAGCAGGAGTTTTGCACTAAGAGCAGGAGTTTGGCCATGCAGTTGCTAAAAGAAGCTCATTACTGTCACAGCTGGAAATAATCTGTGTGTAATTTCCTTATATTTGATTCCTGCTTAGGAATCTCAGGGAGTTCCCTGCACATTGGGTGCCATTTACTTTTCAACTTTGAGATCAGGTAAGAGAAAATCAGAGTACTATGAATTAGACTTCACCTGGAAACCAGACAGTGGACCTCTAAATGTGGCCCACCTGCTTGAGAGTCATTGGAGGGAGGGAGCACTTGTTAAAGTGCAGACTCCCGGAAACAACAACTTATTTATCAATTAAAACAGCAGAGTTGGGTTCCAGAGATCTGCATTTTAAAGAAATGCCCCAAGAGATATTTATCAGCATTTTCAATCCCAGGAGACTATTGCAGTACTTCCCTAAGGGTTGGGGTAACTCTATTAGTATTTGCCCACCGGATGGCAAGCTCTACTAATAGCTAACATTTCCATAACTTTGTGGATTGTTAGATAAGCATGTGAATTCATAATTTCCTTACTTCCTGGACCATGGACATATTTAGGGAGGCAGAGAAACACCAAGCTTCCTAGAACCCCTTCTATTTTGTTTGTTCCTGTCTCCTAGGCTCAATAGGTTAGAGCGACGAGTATGCATGATTCAGGACACTGAGGTAAGAACAGAAGAGATAGATATCCCCTAAAATGCCAGACCATACACCACAGGGTTACATCTGGGACCAAGGAGAAAGGATCTTTATTAAGAATCTGTGCCAGGAAATAGTAGCTAAGCCAGAAGATGAATACCAGAAGATGAATGATAGAATTGGGATCTAGAAAAGTCAATCAATTGGCTCATAGTGGTTTTACTGCATTGATACTCAAGTGTAAGCACTATGTTCAGTGTAATTTATGATAAGTAACAGTATTGATTTTCATTCATGGGTTACAAATGAGGTGTGACTCATCTTCTCCGGATTGTTTTTCCCTGCCCCAGAGATGAACACTTCCATGTGCCCCTTCACTTCTCTTTCCCAGCCTTACGGTTTCACGGATGGCTCTTTCAATGCTCATTCTCACCTCCCAGGATGAACTGCTTCCGTCTACACATTCCTGATGTTCAAATGTAACGAAAACATGGAAAGGTTAATTCATGTTGGGAAACAGATCAAGGACTTTGATGGTAGTAGAAGGAGGTTCTCTACCTGTGAGAAGGAAGGTAGGAAAAAAACTTTAGACCCTATAATGCACCTACCAGCACAAAAAGCAAAGATACTTTTTTAACTCCCCAAATCAAAAACGATTAAATAATGCTATCTCCTTGTAAAAAGTCACCCCAAATCGTGATACTTATGTAATATAGGAAGTACAACTAACCCAAATCAATGACATTTTGCATTCCCTTTTATGGAGGAAATGAGTAGAATTTACAAATAGTTTATGTTTCTCTCACCATCTCTTCAGTCATCTTTATGATATTGTGAGCTATCCAATATTTATGTTTCTTTTCCCTTTAAGTCAGCTATAGCTGGTTTCTGTTGCTGGTGATGCACAACTCTGGCTAATGGAGAAACCAATAATTTCCCTAATGATTAATCCTCGGGAAATGTACCTTCTTTTAAAGAAAGCTGTGGCTATCTGTGAGAGGGGAATCCTACCTTATATATAAGCAGCACCAGTATTGCCATTTTCTCAGTGAAACACAGCATGGCCAACAGTAGAATATGAGATTGACACACACAGTACTAGGATATATGTAGAAGTAGAGTGGGAGACTTTCCACTATTATTGATATTTCTGAAAGATTAACATAGAAATGTAACTTCTAGGTCTGCTTTGTCAGCTCAGACTGCTATAACAAAATACCATAGACTGGGTGGCTTAAACAACACAAATCAATTTCTTACAGTTCTGGAAACTGAGAAGTCCAAGATCAAGATACAGGCAGATCCAGTTCTTGGTAAAGTCCCGCTTCCTGACTTGCAGACGGTTATCTTTTTGATGTATCCTCACATGGTAGAGAGGAAGCTCTGGTCTCTTTCTCTTAATAAGGATACTAATCTCACCTTGGAGGGCCCATATCAATGTCTTATCTAAATAGAATTACCTCCCAAAGGCCCTAAAAACCATCACAGTGGAGGTTAGAGCTTCAACATATGAATTTTAGAAAGACGCAAACATTTAGTCCATACCCAGGTCCCTGAGATGTCTCAGAATTTGGGTTAGGAAAGCTACTTGACATACTGAATTAGTATCCTACTGCTGCTGTGACAAATTGTTATAATCTTAGTGACTTAAAAAAAAACAGAATTTTTTTAGCTTATAGATCTAGAGATCAGAATTCCAAATATCTAAGTGTCAGCATGGCTGCTTTCCTTCTAGAGGTTCCAAGAGGTCTATTTCCTTTCCTTTTGCAGCATCCAGAGGCCCTCTGCCTTCCTTGGTTCATGGCCTCTTCTTGGCATCATTGTGACCTCGGCTTCCATCATCAGACCTGCTTCTCTTACTTTGTCACTCCTGACTCTCCCTTATAAGAACTGTTGTGATTAAATTGGGCCCACTCAGAATTCAGGATAATCTTTGCATATCAATGTCCTTGACTTAATCACATATGCAAAGTACCTTTTGCTTTATAAGGTGACATAGTCACAGGCTCTGAGGATTAGGATATGGACATCTTGTCAGGGAAGACGTGTGGGGGTGGGAATTATTCTATCCACCATGGCATGCCTAGTGGTTACATAGGTAAGAGAATCCACATAAACCTCAGGACTCCCTAACTCAGTTTATTCCACCATTCCATTTTTTTCTTTTTAATGTGTAAAAACCCCTGGCTTCACTAAAATCAGCTTTACCTAGGATCAGACTAAAGAAACCGCAGATTTCCATTACAGGCCAAAAAAGTAGGTCTAAATCGCCTTAGAAATTATGAGCAACTTTTTTATTTCTCTCTTGGCAGGAATGAAAATGAAAGTAACAGATTGCAAGGAAGAAATAAGAGCAGTTCAATAAACAGAATGCACATTATTTTGGTAGACAGAATATAAAAACATACCTCAGGGTTGATTTTCATTTACTTCAGATAATAGAGTAGAACACATCTGGGGCTGCTTTGTTCTGCTGGCTTTGGTTCCTGTCTGTGGGACTGGAGTCACAAAAGAGGACGGGATCAGAAAACCATGGCTTAAATTATCTATGATGCCAGGATTGGATTTAAGCAAGTTATTTTATCGAAAACACAGCATATGTGAAAATGGATTATTTACATTTTTATAAACAGGATGCTTAAATGAATGATAAAAGTCACATTTACGGTGTATGTTCATCCGTTTTTACACTGCTGATAAAGACATACTCAAGACTGGGTAATTTATAAAGAGAAAGAAGGCTTAATGGACTCACAGTGCCACACGGCTGAGGAGGCCTCACAATTATGGCAAAAGGCAAAAGGCACATCTGACATGGCAGCAGACAAAAGAAAGAATAAGAACCAAGCCAAAGGGGTTTCCCCTTATAAAACCATCAGATCTGGTGAGACTTACTCACTACCATGAGAACAGTATGGGGGAAACTGCCCCCGTGATTCAATTATCTCCCACAGGGTCCCTCCCACAACAGGTGGGAATTATGGGAGCTGCAATTCAAGACGAGATTTGTGTGGAGACACAGCCAAACCATATCACCATGTATCAATCACTGTAATATGTCCTTTATAGATATCATCACATTTAATCTCTGTAATTGCTTTATTTTCAGGAGAGAAAACTAAGGTTTAGAGACGTTCAGCAATTTGTCCACAGCAGGGCCAAAAGCTAGAATACCATTATGAGTACCACTCATGCTCTTATCTCCTTTGTGGTATTTTCTTATTTTAAGAATGTTTAAAATTCATATAATTCAAATAGAGAACCTGATAATAAAGACAGAAAATTAAATGTACATTATATATTACTATACATAAAATGCTTTCGTAAGTGTTAACTCTTTTGATCCTTACCAAAAACCCTACAAAACCCTATATAAGTTGCTATTTGTATTACCTTATTTTTACAGACAAGAAAAGTAAAGTTTAGGGAAATGATGTGAATTCTCCCAATTTACATATCTATAATGTTGCAGATATTTATCTTCTAATTTCTTTCCACTCTACTAGGTGTTATAACAAAAAACACCAACTGTTGATTCTCGTGACACGTAAAGGAAAAAAAAATGATATCTTCAGGAAAGAGTTGTGGGTTTGGGTTAGGTGATCTGCAATGGGTCAATGAGGCAAGTGAAGACCCTGATTAATGTGTGAGCCCCTCACTGCTCTGGGCTGCAGGTCCTCATGTGCAAACACAGCAACATACTATCTACCTGATAGAAAACCATAAGGAATAACCCCTGTGAAAGTACTTTGTAAACCACAAAGGTTATTTAGAGGTAAGGTCTCCTGTTTTTTGTTTTTGTTTTAACTACAAAGCATTAGAATCATTCCACTGGAACAAATATTGCTTTACTTTCCAATTTTTTCAATAGGGTATTGATGCTTCTCAAGTGAAGTATCATTAATGGTTCCTTAAATGTGGCCAAACCAGTTTAAGTATTTTTGTTTCCATATTTTAGGTTGATATTTTGATGTTTTTTGTCACATGGGGGAACTATCATGTGGAGACACTGTAAGTCATAGTTAAAGATCCTTCAAAATATATTCTAAATGGCATTTTATTACAGATGTATGTTTTATAAGCATACCAGTAAATACACTCAATGCAATTCTTTTGCTTCAAATGTCAATAAAACTTAGTAAGATTTTAATACATTAGCATAAGCTAATTTTAACTTTTTATGTTGCTGATGAAGCACCCATTCAGGAAAAAAAAAGCTCATGCTTTATGTAAACATATTAATGGACAATTTATCTCCTTTTCATTATTTTTACTCATGCTATATTTGTTAGAAAACTGATAATATAGTTGTATGTTATGAATCTAGTTAGATTTGGATTTTATTTTCAACAACAACAACAACAACAAAACCAGTAATCTGAACATGAAAAGTCGATGTAGGCAAGAGATTTTCTTGCAGATTGTCAGTTGTCACTCAATGTTTCATATGTGAGTCCTTGGCTTATTGTTACTAACTCCAAACAATCGGTAACAGAGTTATGTAGTCCTTTAAATTTTACAAGAAGCTTTCGAAGATGTCTCATTTGATCCTCTTAGTATCTTAGTTGAGCAAGGTGGGCCAGGCAATGCTATCACCATTATAAAATGGGAAGTTCCAGGCTCAGACAGGTTGAATTGCCAAGCAAGTAACTGACAAGGGTGATCTAGATCTTTTAGTTTGACATGGTGCAGCTCTTTTCACTATGCATTCACTGTCAGTGGACATATTACATTTATATAAGGTGGACAAAAGGGGTTTAGTTTCATTAATCATTGACTTCAAACACAGCAATAACAACCACCACCTCAAAAACAATATTAACTAACAGTTTGTGAGGACTTAACATTTTGCAATCATTGCTTTAAGCATCACACTTGCAAACCTGTGGGGTAGGTAATATTTTTAACCTTCTCAGCACTGGAGTATATTGATCTGTTATTTTTCCTGTTTTACAAGTGAGGAAACTGTAGTTCAAATACATTAAGTAATTTGTCCAATGGTTGAAAACAGGCAGTCTGACTAAAGAATCTGTACAATTAACTCCTACACTAAACTGTCCCCATAGCTAATTTTTGTTTTTTAAATCAAATAAAGTTACAAAAAGAAGCAACCAAATATTTTAATTAGTGGCTCTTATTCCCTGCTATTTTCTATTTATATCTATAATAATAAGTAGTTTCAACATAGACTAGAGAAGAACATTATTTTAATATAGTATCTAGAGGCTTTTGAGAGTTATGGACAGCTTTTGAAATCTAGATTCCAACTTCCACTGGGCGAGACTATGGGAAAGAAAGTATATTTAGCTCTACTTTGATGGGAATCTTAATATCCTCCACACTTTCTGAGGACAACAATTCATAACTTTACTAATTATACTTCTTGGCTAAGATTTTAAGTTTTCACTGTTCCCCAACAAGTTCATAAAGAGATTTCCAGATATAGGAAAATATCATTGACTAAATGACCTCCAAAATACCTTTCAGTGCTCAAAGTCAATCAATCTTTGACATAATCATGTTAGATCTATCCTTAATAAACTAAAGAAAAAGATTAAGATAATCTCTCCCAGCCATGTACAAGCTTAGGCTGTAAAGAAGATGAAAACAAGTTAGTTTTTATTTTAATCAATTTGACTTCAGAAGCAAAACTTTATAGCTCAATCTGGTATTCATAAGCTTTTCTTGAAAATGAAACATATTTTTATTTAATTTCATATACTCCCAGTATGTTATAGTGATGTGTTGATTTAACTTAATGCTTTTACTTATTATAACATTGATACTAAGCATCATCTTTAATTCTCTTTTAATTTCTTTTAATTTTCATACATAATTGTTTAAACCTTATAAATAAATGGATATACATATATATGTATGCATGACTAATGTTTTTTGTTTATAAGTTCTGATGGCAAGGTAAATATTAAAAGAATTTGATGTAGAAAAAAGTAATTTAAAAAGTGCTTCTTTTAATATTCAATACTACCTTTTTCATATGACAAAACTTACAGTTCATTGGCAAGTTAACAATAAATCTGAATGTCACTTCTTTAGGAATCTGAATTCTTGGATCTCTCTTTGTTCTATTGATCTAGAATCACATCACCGAATGTGTCATTTAGAATTTGCTTTTCTCTTTGCTTGTAAGTATTCTGAATTCCTTGCTTGAAGTATTGAGTGACTATATTAGCAAAAATAATGACAACAGATGTGATTATTGTGCGACTAACCAAGACCAGCAGCAGAAGCTTCACAAAGAATCAATATTCGGCTCTTAGCCACAGAGATTAAAGAGGCACATGAATATAAAGCAAATCATTGTATAAGAAATAGTTGAAATGAAATGACATGCTGCTCCATAAAATGATCTAAAAATGGAAGCCACAGAAAAAACTGGCAAAACACCAGAGCTTTGACAAACACATGCACAGACCTGGGAACACCCCCAAATATATATGTATCTTCCTTTATCCTTAATCAAAGGTTTCTAATTTTCACATTAACTAGCAAAGCCTTGAAAACAATGATTACAACACTTTATTTATTTATTTATTTTTGAGACGGAGTCTCGCTCTGTCACTCAGGCTGGAGTGCAGTGGCGCAATCTGGGCTCACTGCAAGCTCCGCCTCCCAGGTTCACGCCATTCTTCTGCCTCAGCCTCCCAAGTAGCTGGGACTACAGGAGACCGCCACCACGCCCAGCCAATTTTTTGTTATTTTTAGTAGAGACGGGGTTTCACCGTGTTAGCCTGGATGGTCTCGATCTCCTGACCTCGTGATCCACCCGCCTCGGCCTCCCAAAGTGCTGGGATTACAGGCGTGAGCCACCGCGCCCGGCCGATTACAATACTTTTAATACTTAACTTACCAAAGTAATTTATTTTTATTCGCTGAAAATGTGAGTCACTTCAGCTGACATTTCTGAAAGCCACATATTGCCTTTTTACTTATTGTTCATTCATTAGACTGAACTTCATGTTGATTTTAGGGCTGGCTAAGCCATTCCCTAAGCTCTTCTTTTTCATCTTTAACTGATCCTCCTCAGCTTGGGGCATACATACAAGAATGCAATGCATTGTTCAGAGAATATAGCATAATCTACTTCCTGATATGATTCCTATGCTACTTGGCCAGCAGTGATGACAACAGGTAGGGAGCTTTTATAGAAGAATGGTGACCCCTCTTTTGAGATCCTCTACAGCTGGCAGGCATCCTTCTGTCCCTGAACATCACAGCCTGTGTAATATCTTGTAGGCCAAACAAAAGTCAGTAAATGTTTAGTGTCTAGAACTTCTTTTAGATTCAGAATGAATATAAGACAATTGGAAAATAAAACAGTAAAAACATTTACAAATGCAAAAATGTGTTGGACAAAAACAACAACAAGTGCAAAAAGTTATTGGACAAAAGGGAAAGTGAGGGTAGAAGAACTGAAATAGAGAGAAAGAGACAGAGAGAAAGGGACATTGGCAGAAATGCTCATTATTCATTTCCTCTCATATCTTTCTCTAAGTGAGCTTTCCTCATTTTTCATTCCCAGAGAACAATTCAATCTCCTTATCTTTTGCCTATGTAAAGTTTAAGGTGGAGGACACCACAACACACCGTAAACCAGAGAGCATGGGTCCATTGCTGCTCAAAGGTGAACAGATAAGAGACATAGTTTTTTTTTTTAAGTTTTTTTAGCAAGTTAAAAGTTATTTTATGTATATTATTAAAAAGTCAAATAACAACAGATTCTGGCAAGGTTATAGAGAAAAGGGAACTCTTATATAGTGCTGGTGAGAATGTAAATTAGTTCAGCCATTGTGGAAAGCAGTTTGGTGATTTCGCAAAGAACTTAAAACAGAAACATCATTTGACCCAGCAATCTCATTATTGAGTATATACCCAAAGGAGTATAAATCATTCTACCATAAAGGCACATGCATGCATATACGTTCATCACAGCACTAGTCACATGGAATGAAATAAACTATTCACAAAATGAATACTTGTGAATATATGTGAATTAATATGTGAATTCACTATATGCAAAGACATGGACTCAATCTAGATGTCCATCAGTGGTAGACTGGATAGAGAATGTGGTACATATATACCATGGAATACTATGCAGACATCAAAAAGAATGAGATCATGTCCTTTGCATCAACATGGACGGAGCTGGAGACTATTATCCTATGTAAATTAACAGAAACAGAAAACCAAATACCACATGTTCTCACTTGCAAGTGGGAGCTAAACACGGAGTACACATGAACACAAAGAAGGGGACAATGACCACTGGGGCCTACTTGAGGATGGAAGGTGGGAAGAGGGTGAGGATCAAAAAACTATTTGTTGGGTACCATGCTTAGTGCTTGGGTGACAAAGTAATCTGTACACCAAACCCCCAAGACATGTAATTGGCCTATATAACAAACCTGCATATGTGCCCCTGAAACTAAAATAAAAGTTAAAAAAAATTCAGTTATGTAACAGTAAAGAAAATTCATCTGTGTAGAAAAATAATCAAAAGATACAGAAAGTTATAAAAAGTAAGAGTCATGGCCATTCCAGCCACTGGTTCTAATTACAGACGATAGCCATATCAACACTTCCTGTGTTTCCTCCCAAACCATTATTCTTACAGCAACATGTATGTGCCTGTGTTATTACCCACATAGCACCTTACTGTATACTAACTCTAAAAAATGGAAAATGATTACATTCTTGTGGTGTTTTGTAAACCTGACAATACTTTTCTGCATCATCATTTTCTAGTCACCCTCCTGCTTTTTCATGGTTGTTTAATGTGCCATTTTAATGGTTCAAAATTAGTGGTTAATTGTTGTTAAATAATGATTAATGTTTTAATAGTTGTTTAAAACAAGGTGTTAGATTGTATGAAAGGCTGTAATCTATTTACTCATTCCACCAATAATGGAAATTTTTAAAGTAATTTGTTGTTTTGTTTGTTTGCTACATGCCACTATTTCTGTATCAGTTTCCTTCATCATAGCTCTCTCGGTGCTGATGTCAGCACAATCTTATTGTTTTGACATTTTTCTCTAACCATATTGAGACTGTTCTCACAACAAAATATGCACATCTTAAAATACCATCTGGCTTCTCAGGTCCACTTGAGACTGGTGACCTCACTTTTGACCTTGCCCTAAAAGTCAACTGGAGTCCATATACCTCAGGTACAAACAGCTTTAATAAGCTGCCACTTCCTGTTCCTCTCATCTTCTCTCTATGGCAGGACTCAGAGCATTAACTAACCTAAGGGCCTGGTAGAATGTAAGCTGGAGGTAGAGTAGTTAAAGTCTGTGCATTTTGTACTGGTCATTTTCCAGTTCGTCTGTTGCTAAGAAACAGCAACAGAGGCCCGCTCTAGAGGGTTACAAACTCCCTGGAATTATGGCTCCCGGACATGGTGTAGGGAAAGGTGTCCCACAGGGATCAAGCCTAGAATATCGCTGGATCTTGTACAGTTTAGTAAAGGGCAGGACTGGATTTAACATAACGTCCACCAAACTACATTACTGAAAATTTTTGGTGCTTCACTCAACTAGTCTCATTGACTAGAAGTGAAAATATGTTTTTCTCAATATTACCAGCTTTAAATTTGCCATAAACTGTTGTGGGACCAAGCCACAGAGGAAATGTTTTTCCGCTAGACAAAGATAAGCATGAGGATGCCAGCAACAGAGGATATTCCTTTTAAGGTCTGTCCATTGCAAAGTACACACGTACACGCTCACACAACAAACACGCCCTGTTCCCTTTTGCTTGTGTTAACCACTGAGGGCAGATCTCTGAATAATAATACATTTAGTGGGTCCACAAGAGCTGCATTTCCTCTGCTCCAGAATTCATGCAAGGAGCACGGCTGGGGCTTCTCCACTGTCATTGTTATGGCCTCAAATGAAGGCCTTGTCACCAGGCGGGGGCGGGAAGGCACTGGAGCGCAGCAGCATTGAGAGCATCCGAATTCCCTCCTCTGTCCCTGATTGGTTGAAGAACTGGGGAGCACCGACCAGCCCCCTGCGGCTCGACTCGCCATTGGCTGGGAAGAGGTGGCAATCAGGGCGGGCCAAGGCGGCTGTTCTCGCTCCAGCTCGATGCTGCCTCCCCGGCCCGGTTGCGCTGTAGCCGCTGCCGCCTCTGCCTGGGTCCCTTCGGCCGTACCTCTGCGTGGGGGCTGCCTCCCCGGCTCCCGGTGCAGACACCATGGTAAGTGCTCTCAGCCGGGTGCGGCCCGAACCTCACCCCTCCTCGGCCGGCCTGGCAGCGAGGGAACTGGCCGCGCAGCCGGAGCTTGGCTCGGGGGCCCTGGGCGCTCACTGCCGGCCACGGGAGCAGCCTCACTCCTTGCCCGCGCCCAGTCAGGGGAGGTGGGAACGCCGCGAGTCGTGGCGGGGGCGATCGGTGCCTTTGCTTCCCAGGCGGGTTTGCCGCTCCACACCGCAGCTTCCTGAGCTCGGGAAGGGGAGGTGCGGCGGAGGCGTGGGGTCTTCCCGGCTCTGGCCGGCCCCACCAGTGTGGGAGGCTGAGCGCCAGCGGAAGGGAAGGCTCCGGGTTCGCGTCCCCGCGCTGCCCCCGATGCCCAGCCTCTCCCGGAGCGGTGACAGGTGAGGAGGGTGGGAAGATAGCGTGGGGGTGGGGCGGATGGTGACGGGGAGAATCCACCAGGGATTGGGGGGTTGCGCCCCCACGATCCGACTCCTTTAGTGCATAGTACCCCTAAGGGAGAGGAGTCAGGGGCGGGGTGAAAGGTTAAGCCAGCGCCATGGGAGCAGAGGCAGCAGCCTCGCCCCCAAGCCGCTTCTCAGGTACAGCGGGTCCCTGACGCTCAAGTCTCTCCCTGTCCCCGCAGTACGGATTTGTGAATCACGCCCTGGAGTTGCTGGTGATCCGCAATTACGGCCCCGAGGTGTGGGAAGACATCAAGTAAGTGGCCGGCTACCCTGGCTGTGGCCCAGGTCGGCGCCCAGTGTGGGAGGCCCCCCGCGCCTCGCCTGGTCCTCAGCCTGCTGGCCGGGTCGCGGGCGCGCATCCTTGGAGGTGCCTCCGCGCCTCGCTCCCGGCTCGCTGCAGCTGCGCTCCCACGCTCCGGGACTGGAACCAGGAGGGGAGGGGCGGCTGGGGCGGGGCTGCGAGGGCGAGAACCGCGGAAAGGAGCCCCTAGGGGTCACCACGGCTTCCCGACCCGGCCTGAGCGTGGGAACGCGCTGCCGGCGCTCCCAGGCTCAGCAGGCCGGGCAGCTCCCACGCGTGCAGAGCCCCGAGGGACCACACGGGCCTCCGCGAGGTTCCTGCGCCCGGAGGCCTTAGAAACAAACGGAAGACTTTGGCTCCTTTATGATTTACACACCTGGCGTAAGTTAGGCCTTTTTGGTATGCTGAAACACGCGGGAGATTATTTCTTGAGCAACAGTGAATTAAGCGCATTTATTCATTTTTAAATAAAGTGAAAATTGGAAGTTTTTTGTTTTCCCCAAATCCCACTGCCCACCCCCCCCGCCCCAACCCCTATCCCCCGTTTTTTTCTACTGTGTTGAAGACTTAACAGTTCTAGGAGGCATTCTACTTTCAGTCCTGGAGCTTTGAGCCCAGTACTGGGGATGTGAACGGAAATACCACACCCACCTGAGAGTTTAAACCTGTTGGAATGACTGATGGGTCAGCATGTCTGCAGGCAGGTTGACTATTTCACTCTAATAAAGTTGTCTCTCCTTTTTCCTCTCACTCTCAAAAAATTTGCATTTAACTTATGGTACAGCTGACCACCACCAACTAGCTACTCCAAAACCCTATTTATGGATTTTCATATTAGAGCAACAGTCAGACTATCACATTGTAACAAAGGTGGAAGGAAGGGTTTCCTGGGTGGGCAGATGGGAATACACTGTTATTATTCACTCTGATTTCCTGTACTTAGTGATTTCATTTTGTTGTCTCAGGTAGGTGAGGCTTCCATGCTGTTTTTCCCTAAGCACATTACAATTATTAGCAATCAATTCTAACAGGCCTTATTATGCAGTTACATGATGGTGATTTCTCATAACGATCTGTTTCCATAGAAATGACCAGGGTTATATATTAAGCACGAAAATGTAACTTTTCTTTCCCCTGGATCTGTATCACTGAGCGTTTCTTTCATGTTTCAGAAACCATTTGTATTATCCACAGGGCATATTACCTACATATTATAAACAGAAGCCGAGATTTGGCAAGTATGTGGTTGAATCCAATGAGAACATAGGCACCAAAAGTTACTTTAGGATTTGAATTTTCTGGCCATCTTAATACCATTATAATTTTTATTTTGCTTAGTAGACAGATATCAACAAGGCAGACATCAAAAAAAGATTGTTAACAGTATAACTTAACTACCGAATTATTTTTAAGCCACTTCCTTTGTAAATTTATAAATGCTATATATATATATATTCTCCATATGATGCTTTTGCATCTGTAAGATAGAAATTCCCAAATTTGCTGGTAGATATGCTATGACAATGAATATGCTTAGAATTTTTAGAGCAGAATAAAAGATGGCTATTATGATTAAACAGTCATTATGTAATTTAACCAGATTTAGATTGTATATCCTAGCCATTATCAGTTTAGATCACTGTTAAATACAGAGATGAAAAATAATACTTTATAGAGTAATGTATCAGACATTTTAAAAAGTTAAAATTATCCAGAGATTTGTTTATATTGCTTATATTTTCCCAGAGGAAGTCCAAATATGTAAAGATTCAATTGACGAGAATTTAACTCTGCAAAATCAAGCTGAGAATATTGTTCCATTCTACTTTAAAAAATTATTTATTAACTTACTAATTTATCTTTAAGTAGCTTCCAACAGTATTCATAATTTGTCTAAAGGATAAAAATTCCAATCATCCACAACACAATTTTTCTGGTAAAAATGAAACAAGTTATATTGGTCTTTTCTTAAATAAAATTGCCTCAAGGTTATGCCCCTGCAAGGGAAAAAGTGTTAGTCACACTGGTGTTGGTAATCCAGGTGTTAGTGTTGATTCTTTATTTGTCTAAGCATCTTTTGGTGGACCCCAGCTGATCTTGGGTGTGGTTTAGTGTCTGGGCTAGAGAACATGGTTGAACTCTCTGCACTGAGGGCATTAAAGCTGCTCCTTGGTTTCCAACCCAATACCCCTGAGTAATTACTAAATGCTCCCTGGGAGAGCATTTGCTTTCCACAGAAAAGAATCTTGCTGCCTGGGGAGAGGGGAGGAGAACCTGGAGGAGTGTAATTGAAAAATGCTCCTTGGGTGATTCTGGTTCCTCCTCCCCTCCCTACCCTCTGCTTCAGGGAATATTAAAGCAGTCATTGGTCCAAGATGCTTTCAGTTTTAACTTTTATAAGAAATTGAATATAAGAGGAAAAACATTTTTTTTTGTCTCAGTAAGTACCAAACTCTTATTTTTTCTTTTGGTCTTTGAGAAACTATCTAAATTGATGTTTATACAAATTTACATTATACTTTTTTGCTTCACTAGGAAATGGCCATCCATCCTTCATGAGAAAGGATGGGAAAAGATGCCAAACATTTAATGACAAATAAAACCCTAAGTAACAGATTCCAGACAGCAGACAGAAAATTCTAAGTGGATAAGGGCCAAAAATGCTTCATTGTAAACTCAGTATCCACTTACACTCTTACCAACAATATAACCATTTCACAAAAGCTTTGAATTCCTCTTAAGAAGAAGAAAAATTGTCTAGACCAAGGGCCAGCAAACTTTCTCTTAAAGGGCCAGATAGTAAATGTTTTAGGTGTTACAGGCCAAGGTAAAACTGAGGATATTATGTAGGAATCAATATAACTATTAAAAATATAACCACTTAAAAATATTAAAACCATTGTTAGCTCTTGGACCAGGAAAACGCAAACAAACAACCAAACCAGACAAAGTGGGCTACATGTGATCCATGGGCTATAGTTTGATGACCTCTGATTTAGACCATAACAAATGTGAAAAAGCAAAAGAGACCTCTGAATCCATTTCAAAGTTTTTTTTGTTGATTTCATTTCAATATTCAAATAGTCCTTTTAAGAGGCTATGATTTCTAAGTAATGACAAAAAAATTATCAGGGTAGAAAATAAATAAAGTTAGGAGTGATACATCCTAGAAAAGCACCTAAATACTTGATTTCCCATCTCTGTTATCCTTCCATCAGCCCTGACTAAACTCATCATTGCGTCAAATTACTGGGTTTAATTTTAGATTTTTTCTCTGCTTTCTTTCCATATTTTTTCTGGGTAGCAGCGGAGGGAAGCAGTTAGAGACAGGTCTTGCTGTGTGCCCAAGCTGGTCTCAAACTCCTGTCATCAAGTGATCCTCTTGACTCGGCCTCCCAAAGTATTGGATTATATGCACCACCACACCCAGCCCAACTTTAGATTTTTTAACCTCACTGAAACATACAAATTAGGAAGATAGATCCAAAACACTGAAAAATCCCAAATGATTAAAAGTCTGTAAAGAAAGTACACTGTCCTGACTTAAATAAATCAGATAAAACGTTTATCTTTAATGAGTATAGTCAAGTGTTTTAGGCACTGAGGATAGAAAAGCAATGATGTAATCCTTACCTTCAAAAAAAAAATTCTAGAGATTTCATGATATTTTAGTCTTATTATTTTGTTTTTATTTTCCTGCCTATAACTCAAATACGGTAACCTTTTGTCTGTTGGATAGCATATACTTCCAGTTTTGAAATTAATGTGTCTTGTTAAATTTGCTAATCACAAATTAATCATTATGGTTCAAATAAGGAAACACTTTGCTATAAACTAGTTATGGGACTTTCCAAGTTGCCTAAACTTTCCAATCCTCCATTGCATAGAGGAAAAAATAATACTTCACAGAGCTGATGTAATGCATTGAATAATGTCTGCAAAATGCTTAACATAGTTCTTGACAATAGCTTAATAAATGATGATTTTTTTTTATTTTACTCTAGAATCAGAGTTTTTAAACTTTCCGTTCCCCAATTTACTTGAAAGATATTAAGCCCTCCTTTAAAAAATATTATTGCAGTCTATATTCTATCAGTCTAAATTTTTTTTATCACTCTAGGATAAGTAATCATCATCATCATCATTTTTCATCATTTTGTTTTGAAATGCAACAAATGCTCTTAATATCCATTGTATCAAAGCAAATTAAAACAAACAAAAGAGCACATCACCATGTTTTGCCGTGTTTATTCAGATTTTCATATTTTTGAAGGTGTGATTTAAACTTCTATACCTTTCTGTAGATCTGCTTAAGTAGTAATGAGCCTATGTATGTTTTAAAGTAGTAAGGATACTTTATATTATAAAGCAATTTCAAATTTCCAAAGTTTTGTTCTCTCTATAATTTTGGTTGACTGCTACAACATCCATTTGAAATAGGAAAGGACTTTACAGCTCAATTTTTTTAATAACAAAGTTGGTTTTCCAAGAGGTTAATTCCCATATGTAATTACTTACTGTCCCAGAGAATTACATATAGGAAACTGAAAAGTCAGAACTTCAGCCCTTGTTCTTCTGTTGCCAGGTTTAATGCTTCTTTTAAGATATAACTGTGAAATAGGAACTAATGTAGTATACATACAAAAATGAAACCACATTTATTTTCTTACCCAGAAACTTCCTCAGTACAAATAAACACATTAATATACAGACTAAGGAAACAAGTAAACCAGATCATTGTTAGGATCAGGATCCTTTTCTGTAGAAAGATCTGCCAGTTAGCCTGAAATACAGAGGAAGGCGTTGCATTGTATTGTGTGTTGGCTGTTAAGCTTACTAATGTTTGAAGTTATCTTTTGCAGCTGGAACTGGATGCCCAAGTGTATACTCCATCACATACCTGCTATTGAGCTCTTTGCATAGGGCTCTTCCAGAACCTGGACCATGTCTGTGAGCAGCATGGCAGGCACCTAGGTGATAAGGCGGGTCATCACATGATCTCAGGGAGTTTGTGGGTGTTTCTTTTGAGTTTTATTTTGGTTCTGATGATCTGAGGTATCCCCCAGAAATCAAGCTGGGTCTTGGAGTCTTTATTTTCCTTGCATTCTGTGATTTTTGAGAATTAAAAAAAAAATCAGAGGAGTACATCACTTAATTTGGCGTGTCGGAAGGATCTTTGCACATTACGGTGAGCATCAGAAATCAGAAAATCTGTATTCTCACTCTTAATGTACCCAGATCTAGTTTTGGCAAACATTTACTAAGCATTGTTATGATTTGCAAGAACAAAGTCCTTTCTACTTTCTTGCCTTTCTCCAGAATAAGGGGCTCTAGCAAATGTTTCTCTTTAATGTGTTGGAAAACTATAGTTATGGGTTGATGCTCTGCAGACATCAATAGGAAAACACACTTAAGGAAATGAATGCTATAAAGAAATCTAACTGGCTAGATCCGAGGGTGACAGCTCAGCAGACGTGAGTACTTGCAGCTTTTTCATTCTCTCCTTTGCCTCCTTGTTCGTTAAAGAGGAAATGGTGGGAGAAAAAATGTCTTTATTGTTTATGTCTAGCAAAATGAAGCATCTTTTTCTGTGTCAAACTATATCAAAAGATAGTGAAGTTAAAGTGGATTTTATTCCAGGTAAAAGTAGACATTCTGAAGTATTTATTGGACCTCCTCGTTACTGTGGCTTTGGTTCTGTTGCATATTCTGGTCTACTTCCCCTTCATTGTTGAATCATGAAATATGAAATTGTTAAATTTATTGAAATTCTTTGTGGTCAATCTTCAGATAACCCAAACATGGAAACCTTTCACTCAACTTGTCCTACATACCCTTAGCATTCCAGCCCCATGGGCCTGTTTTTAGTTTCTCAGCCATACCGAGCCTTAAATGTGTCCGTTTAACACCTGTGCTTGCTATGGTCTCCTTTTCTTCACCCTCCCAACCCTCCTGTAAATGTAAACACCTCTCAGCTTTGAGATGTCAAAGCAAATGTCACTTCTTAAGGGAACCTTCTCTCACATCCAAACTTTTCCCTTTCCTTCATAGTGCTGTAATGCAAGAGTTTGTACTTAGTATTTGTACTACTGATTAATGTCTATCCTCCATGACAATAGCCTCCATAACTCTTTCTAGAGTGCTCTCTCTCTCCCTCTCTCTATGTATTCAATAAAATATCAGGCTCTCTTTCTGTAATAAAAATATGGATGTTTATATGTGAATGAAGTATCTTTCACCTTTTTCATTTCCAAAGAATAGAGCACACACATATTTTTATCAAAGATTCTTCTCTGCAACCAGAATTTATGTCAGCATGGTGACATATTCAACTACTATTTAAATATAAGCTGTTTTCAAATAGACATTTCTTTTTCTCCAAGATTTATTGAGATATAATTGACAAATAAAAGTTATATATATTTAAGGTGCACAACTTCATGTTTTGATGTACATATACATTGTGAAATAATCACTGTAATCAAGCCAATTGCCATATTCATCACCTCACATAGGCACCCTCTTTTTTTGTAGTGAGAACACTTAAGACCTCCCCTCTTAACAAATTTCAAGTATTCATTATAGTATTGTTAACTGTAATTGTTCATTGTAATTGTTAATAGTGACATTGCTGTGCCAAATAAACATTTCTTATATCAGCAAAGGCAGAAGATAGAGCAATATAGCAATACATAATAGCAATTCCTTTTGGAAGTGTCAGAGTTCTTTTATGTTTTCTCATGTCATGTGGATGTATTGGAAGGACTAAGAACTCTATTGTTAGAATGACAATTTCATATGTCAAAAGACAATTACTAGATTGGATTCAGGACATGATTGAATCCTTTAGCAAGTTTCTAAAAGGCAGGGATGTGTGGTGCTGTTTAAAGTCAGTGTCATAGACTGTAACTCAGTGTTTAGAATACTGAAATTAAATTTGAAATCCAGCTGAGCTCTCACCATGTCATGCTATTTCGAATGTAATATGTCACGTATATTAAACACATACCATATGGTTCTGCAGTCACAGTCCTAGATGCTTTATACTCATTATCTCAGTTAATCCTCATCACCACCACAGAAAATAGATTCCTTCATTATCCTCATTTTGCAAATGAGAGAATAGAGGCGTAAAAGAAAGCCTGCCTCAAACACTCAGCTATTAATTATTAGAGCTGGGATTTGAACACAGATAAAGTTGTAATTATCATGTTATGTGTTTTCCTCCAAAGAGAAAGACCTATAACCTTCTTCTTTCCAAAGACAACCAATTTAGCAAGGACATGTGCCATGTTTATGTGTATTAGTACTGCCTGCTGCTTTTTCTTTTTTCTTGGAATGTTCAAGCATGCGTACAGGTGATTTTTGACAACAATATTTTTAAAGGCGAATTGACATGAAGCATATACACAAGTGTCTAAGTAAATTCATTTGTCTGTTAAAGCTGCTGAAAATGGCTCAGCAGCTCAAATGAAGATTTGTAAGTTTTGTGGATATGTTTTCAAAATTGGAGAAATTACCATTAAGGGTCTCTTGTGACTCAAAATTGGAGAAATTACCATTAAGGGTCTCTTCCTGACAATTGCATGTCAGGAAGAAACATGCAATTATGTATCAAGACTGTTGTTGTTTCCCCTAAAACTAAGGTATGGGTGTCACTCAGGAGAGTATTTATTGTTACTGTTTACAGTGATTGGATGAGTGAGTGAACACATTGACATGAAAGGACTGACCTTTACTAACTAAAAGGGGGTTCAGGCAGGAAGTCGTTACTGGATTTAAAGGGCCTGTCTCTCCACTTGGCAGCTCCCTCAAGCCAGAGTCTCTCCTTTGGGGTTCAGGCTTACTGAGAATCATTAGATTAGGCCATTGAAAACTTAGAGGCTATTCATGCTCCACAGCCACTTAGAAAAAAGCAATATAAAGTTTTACTTTTTTAGATGTTATATATAGTTACTATCCACAGTTTATAGTGGGAGATTTTAGTTTTAATAATGGTTGGGGACAATGCAACATTATGGTACCAATTCAGCTCACTACAATGGACCATTCTAGGATTTATTATCAAAACGACACCTACGTACTGTTTTTTAATACAGCATGTGTTCTGATAATGTTGTTTATGGGATCAATAGTATCTTGGAGCTGTCATTGGTCAGTTTGATTGTTTGATCCTGATTGACCTTTTCTGCCCAAGAGCAGACCTTGTGTTGAGATTATGTTTTCAACATGCCTGTGTTCAGGCTCTCCCATTTCAAAATACTCCATGGAAAACTTCTTTAACTGAAATATAGCAGTCTTGTCATATTCTTAACTTACTCTAAAAATGTACAGTAGCAGGAGCTCAGGGTCAGAATATGAATTCAGTTTTTCTGTGTTCACATATTGTAGTTAAGGAATATCTCCTTGTATGTGAAGTTATAAGAAATGTTACCTGGATATTTTGGACAAATTGTATACCTAGTTTTAAAAAATAAATAATAAAAAATATTCTTTAGTTTGAAAGCAAATGATGGACTTTTGTTAGTAATGTTTGATTACTTGTTTGTTTTTTTTTTTTTTTTTTGTAGGGAGCTTGGAAATGTGTGGGGAAATTGATTTCATTAATTCATTCACTAATTTTTAAACATGTATACCTTTATTAAGCACATGTGCACCTTTATTAAGCACATGTGCAATTCCAGGCACCTGGGTTAGGCACCAGTAATTACATTAAAGAAAAAAATCCCAACTTACCAAACACCACCACTATAAAAATACCAACTACCTCTTTGTGAAAAGGTAATTAGTATAAATAAAGGATCTGCTTAAATTCCAACAAATAAGAGTAAGTAGGAAGTTGATTGCTACTGGGAAACTATTTCACTTATACGTATTCAACTTCTAAACAGTTACTGTGGCTACAGATACAAAGAATGTGATTATTTCTGATTTTGTTGCCAGGTGAGAATTCGATCTTTATTTTTAAAGCCCTTAGGGGCAACAGAGCTTGTTTGTTTCTTGGCTATTTTAGTTTGTAAATTCTATCAGCAAATCTGCATACTAAGTGCACCTTAATTATTTGATTCTGACTAAAAATGACTAAGATTTTGTTGTCATTCTTCCCTTCTCTTCTTCCACTTGCCATTTCCTCTTTCTCCTTTTTCCCTTCTTCCTTCATCTTCTCCAACTACTATAACTTACCAGTTAGAGGAAGTATCAGGCATTAAGTGTGCAAGAAGTACTACCCTGAGATTTTTGCATAGGTTAATTCTGCTAACCAACACAATGACCGGAGGTAACTGCTGCTGTTAGCCTGTTTTACAGATGAGGAAATGAAACACCAAGAGTTGAATCTGCCCAAACTGCACATGGGATTGGCTTAGTTGTTTATTTTCCATACTGTGTGAGGAAAGACTTTGACTTATGACATAGATGAAATCAAGGGAGTTTCTCTTTATCTAGGTTTACTTGTTAGCCAATGAAAGTGCTTTTAAACTTGAACCTCTCTAAATATTTATTATTGTCTGCTGACCTCTTTCATTGAGTAATTCACTGAATAGAAAAATTTAACGCTTAAGCCAAGCAGAGTCATTGGGTATGTAAATATGGCAAGTCATAGTATTTGAAAATAGTGAAAGACTATGTTCACTTGGGATTTGGTAGGACTTTTAAAAATAAAAATAATAGTAGTAAGCAGCAACAGACTGTAATACAAACTAGGAGGCATGAAGATTGTAG
This sequence comes from Homo sapiens, assembly GCF_000001405.40. Lineage (NCBI taxonomy): Eukaryota > Metazoa > Chordata > Mammalia > Primates > Hominidae > Homo > Homo sapiens. The sequence goes on from NC_000004.12 coordinate 155,769,629, forward strand.
TGCTGTTGGTTATTATTTGATAGATGAGCACTCTTGAACACAGTTTAATCCAATTTACTTAGAGTTTATATGATATTTTTTGTCATCTAAGAAGCATTGAAAAAAATGACAGTATGTCCAAAATTTTCAGAAAAATCTTAAATTGTGGTTCTCAGGGAAACCTGTGGTTTTTCTCACATGTAAAATAAGTACAATTTAAATAATAAGGTAATTGCATAATTTCCCTATTATGTAATTATATAATTACATAATAATAATGTAACAATGTATACATAATGCAACAATTTAAACAAAATTGGAGCTCAAAAAATAATTCTGAAAGAATGAATGAGTCTATAAAATTTGGTGAATGTACTTGGCTGAATTTGGATAATTTAAGCCCATATAAATTCTACTTGTCACAAAAATAAATTTTAAATTACTAGAAGTGTTATTCTTGCCTTTGCTCTTGAGGAAAGAACTTAAAAGTTATGGGATAGCAAAGTGGGAGATGCAGAATTATGAGATAATATTACTTGAATTATGTAAATTGTTTATGTAATCTGAATATTAGCTTACTTCCTAACTTTTCTTAAATTTACTGGTCGCCCTCTGTGACTTCAGGTAGCAGATAAAAAAACAGCCCTAAAGCTAAGGAGAGAAGGAAGCCTGCAGTGTGGGAAGGGAAGCCATTAAAACTTTCCTCAAAGAACAGTGGCAGCTATATTTTGCAGAGTGCTGGGAAATGGTTATTATCACATCTCTGTGCTTTCTGGAGGTTAAAACATTTGACAGCATGAAGTCCGATTATATATAAATTTACCTAAAAGTTAGAAGAAAAGTTGTATTGAGAATTGAGAGACAACAGAGAAGGCTTGGTTGATTCAAAATTTCTACTAGCTTCAAAGGCCATATTATCTGAAATTAATTCTCTTAGTTATTATTCCTTCATTGTATATTCTCCATCTCAGTTTAGTGTATTAAACTGCTTCATACTAAAGAGTTTGCGATACCTCCAATTAACTTTTGCAGTATTTCCAATTAGCTTTTCCCCTGAAAGGAAAGAAGATGAAGAATAGGCTAGAGAAGGAAAGGAAGTGGCCCCAGAAAGGTTAGGTATAAGGTGGTAAGGATGGAGGTTTCCTGCTCAAGTCCTTGCTCCGGCGTCACTGTCCCCATGAAGCCTACCATGAACACCTATGTATATTATCCTCATATGTATACTGCATCCAGCCCCTTCCTCTTGCATTTCCACTCTCATGTCTTTATCCAGAGCTACCTCTTCCTGTAGTATCTATTGCTTCATAACATATTATATCATTTTGTTATATATCATGTTTATTGCTTATTACTTGTATCTGTCAGCTAAAATATAAGCTTTATGAGGACAGGGATCTTTACCTCTTTTGTTCATTGATATATTAAAAGTGCTTAGAAAAGTGCTTGGACATAATAGGCATCCAAATATTTGTGGTAAAACTGTTCCATAAGAAAAAAAGAAAAAGAAAAAGGGTAGCCCCACATTCCCAAAGATGTAAATAGAGTCCTAAGTACTTTGAATAATTCAAAGGAATTCAGAGTGAAATTTTTAAAAGAAGATTATTATTTCCTTCCATGTACTACTGTTTAATTTCTATTTCAGTCCCCACTGGGGAGCATTGACACTGGTCATTTCAGGAAGTAAAGCTTTGATGATAAGGGAGCTTATTTTAATAAAGAGAGAGAAAGGAAAGGACCAATGCATTGACCCATGGTTAGGGGGTTTCTGAGGAAATGGCTGTTCCCCTGTTTTATGCAGAGGGACTGTGGATTCTGCTTGTACCTTGTTTATTTATGGGTTACTAGAGATTGGTGAGTGTTTCAAATAAACAGAGTTTATTACAGAAATTTATGTGATTTGATTTATTCCAATTGGAAGAAACAGAATGGTGAAACATGAATAAATTTCTACTTATTGTATCTTTAATTAGAATATTCTGTCAGAGTCTCCAAAATTTTAATCTATAGATCAGTGTTGTTTCAAAATAAAATGTTAATAGCAAAATGACAAAACATAAGGTATCCATATCCGTCAAACTATTTATCCCATTCCTAAGAATTTGTTCTGTTTTTACATAGAAGTGTAAGAAGCTATAAAGATATTCATAACATTTTTTATACTTGTGGAAAAAATAAAAACATCTAACTACCTACCAAGACTTCAATATGTCTACAATGCAATTTTATGCAGCCATGGTATAGAAGTATAATTATGATATGAAAAGATATCCATCAAATATTCACTCAAATGGGTTTTAAAGCAGTATGTTCTATATATAAGTATATTCAAGCATGAACAACTTGAAAATTATAATAGCAGTGATTATCTCAGGATAGTGGAGGCTTATTTTCTCTTTTTAGTTTTTCCTTTCCTGTACTTTATATATATTTTTACAATTAGAAATTAGAATGCAGAAAATATATAGTAGCATTTATCAGAGGATAAGACAATGTTTGTATATTACGTTTTCATAATTTTTTGATATCTCACTGACTTTTGGTATTAAAAAGACTTGAGGTCTTCGAAGAGTTGTGTTGCTTTTGTTTAACAGCTGTTTATGTTTGGAAAAAGGGAGAAGAATTTAATATTTTATGTACAGTGCTATAATTGTTTGAGTAGACATGGGGAGTGCTATATTCACTGGGAATATGTATAGTACTTTAACTGCTTAGAATATACTTTTGTACACTTTATCTCTTTACTGTTGTGAAAGGTGAATTATCTGTTGCTTCCACTTCAGAAAAGAGAGGTTTTGTTTGTTTGTTTGTTCGCTTGTTTGTTAGCTGAGTCAGGATCTGGCTCTGTTGCCCAGGCTGAAATGCAGTGGCAAGATCACGCCTCACTGAGGCCTCAACTCCCGAGGCTCAAGCAATATTCTCCCACCTCAGCCTCCCAAGTAGCTGGGACTACAGACTTGCGCCACCACACCTGCCTAATTTTTTTTTTATTTCTAGGAGAGAAGAGGTCTTGGTATGTCGCCCAGGCTGTTCTCAAATTCCTGAGCTCAACGGATCCTCCCACCTGGGCTTCCCAAAGTGCTGGGATAACAGGCATGAGCCAACCTGCCCAGCCAGAAAAGAGAGATTTTAATGCTTATGTGCTTTATGTGATTTGCTCCGGTTCATTTAGCTGGTAAAGCCTGGGCTCTGAAATGCAGATCTCTGTGCTTACAGAAAACATGCTTTTAAAAAAAAAGTTATGAATAAATGCAGGCAAATAAATTATAAGCTCTGAAGGACAGAGGATGTTTTTAAGACTATCTGCATACTAAGGTATGGATGTAAGACATACCACCATTTGGAATTTTTCCCTTGAGCATACACAGATATAGTCATGAGTGGCAGCTGTGATAGCACAGCTTCTGAAGGAGAGAAAGCAACTAAGGACTGCCTTGAAAATATTTAAGGAGTTATTTGAGCTGCTGTGTTGCAAGTTCGCCTAATTAGAGTGGCTACTTTCCTTTGTATTCTCTTGGCAATGTACAGGGATTCCGATGAATTGGATTGAGAGTAAGAGGTTGACATCCAAGCTCCATGTATTTTTGTGAAGTTAACATTGGCAATGATATCTGGAACTTAGTTCTTTTCTACAGTTGGCCATGTGGGTTTTTTTATTTACATACATTTATGAGGTACATGTGCAATTTGTTACATGCGTAGTAGGTGGCAGTGTTTTAAACAATGGATTTCACCTCTCCTTTGAATGCTTGTTTGAGAAAAGTAATTCAAATCCTATCTAAATAAATACATTTATATAATCATGACAACTTTTAAAAACAATTATAATTTTCTTTCACTAGTACTGTGTATGTTTTGAGCTACTGTGTTTAATAAGCTAAGGATATATTTGAAGATTTTATCAGTCCACTTGGCATCTCAAACTTAATATGTTTAAAAACATCTCAAACTTAATATGTTGAAAACATAGCTCTTGACCTTGACCCCTTGTCCGCCTCCAACAAGTCTTTCCCAATTCAGCTACTGGTGACAACATCCTTTTAGTTGCTTAGACCAAAAACCTCAGTGTCCTCCTTGAGTCCTCTCTTTTCACACCCTGTGTCCAATCCATAGCAAATCATGCTGAATTTACCTTTAGAATATATATGAGTTTGAGGCATTTCTTACCTGCTCCACGGGTTCACGCCATTCTCCTGCCTCAGCCTCCCGAGTAGCTGGGACTACAGGCACCCGCCACCACGCCAGGCTAATTTTTTGTATTTTTAGCAGAGAGACGGTTTCACCGTGTTAGCCAGGATGGTCTTGATCTCCTGACCTCGTGATCTGTCAGTCCCCGCCTCCCAAAGTGCTGGGATTACAGGCATGAGCCACCGCGCCCAGCCCACCAACACTTCTTACCTGAATGTTGGCAGCAGCCTCCTAACTGGTCTCCCTCCTCTGTCTTGTACCCCTTTAGTCTATTTTCAATGCAGTAGCCAGGTGAATCCCTTTAACCTAGAGCAGTTTATATCACCACTCATGTCACAAGTGCTCAAGCCCTTCACCTCTTTCAAGTAAATGGCAGTTATCCCAACGTCCAACCAGGCCAAGCACTGTAGCCTCATGTTACCTCTCCTACCCGTTCCCTGATAGCTACTTTTCCCCCTCCTCTGTTCCAGCCACATTGGCCTCTGCTGTCCTCTGACACCCCAGGCATGCTCCTGCCTTGCCCTTTGCACTTGCTCTTCCCTCTGCCCAGAACACAATCTCTCTAAATTGCTCGTGGCTTACTCTCGGAGCTCCTTCAGACTTTCTTCAAATGCCAGCTTCTCAGTGAGGCCTTCCTGGCTGCTGTCCTTGAGCTCTCCACTGCTCTACTCTGCTTTATTTTTCTCCAAAGTATAATACTTACCATTATATGTTATTTATTAATTTTATGTTGTGTCTGTTTTCCCAGAATATATGTATTGCAAGAAGTCAGGGATTTTTGTCTGTTTTACTAAAGATTGTACCCCTAGTACCCAGAACAATGTCTGGCACCTAATAGGGACTCAACAAAACTTGCTAAACATCTATTAACCCAAAAGTTATTTAATTTATTATATTTAATGGCAGGTATTGTATTGAGCAGTAGAGTACTATGTACTGTTAATCTTGCTAAAATATACTTAAATATATCATTTTAATTTAGGGAGGGGGATATGACATCATTTCTGCTCTCTCACTAGAATTTTAGGTACATGATGATGTTTAAACAAATTTGCCCAAAAAAACCAAATTCTATTTCAGAGATAAAGCCATTGTTTATACAATTATTATACTTATAGTAGCTATTTTTTTAACTTCAACTTTTCTCTTCTGTCTTTCTTGTTTTTGTTTTCCAGAAAAGAGGCACAGTTAGATGAAGAAGGACAGTTTCTTGTCAGAATAATATATGATGACTCCAAAACTTATGATTTGGTTGCTGCTGCAAGCAAAGTCCTCAGTAAGTTGAATGCAACTTTCCTTCTTTGGCCAAGTTACACGTAGAAGCTCACAGAATGCATGGTTCAAGATCACAACGCAGGGTTACAGAAGTGGTGCAGAGCATTTGTACAACCTGCATAGTTGTGTGGTGGGCATCCACATATCATGTTAGGCTCAGGCTATGCCAAGTCTTATTTTTCCTTTTGCAAATTCTTTAGAGAATAGAAAAGAGTAAATGTGCTCTTCTTGTTGTTTTTTGAGACAGGGTCTGGCTCTGTCACCCAGGCTGCACTGCAGTAGTGGCCCAACTCCGGCTCACTGCATCCTCTGCCTGCCAGGCTCAAGTGATCCTCCCATCTCAGCCTCCCAAGTAACTGGGACTACAGGCACGCACCACCACGCCCAGCTAATTTTTTGTATCTTTGGTAGAGACGAGGTTTCATCATGTTGTCCAGGTTGGTCTTGAACTCCTGAGCTCAAGTGATCTACCTGGCTCAGCCTCCGAAAGTGCTGTGATTGCAGGTGTGAGCCTCCACGCCAGGCCCAGTCCTTTGTCTCCCCCAACAGAAAGCCATGTATTCAGGAAGGAAAGAGAATTATTGATACTTAATGTAACAACATCAGTTGTGGTGTCAAGAAAACGGTAGTTATTCAAGTATAATATGTGTTTCTCCAAATCTCTTTTGTAGTCACAAGTTATATTAACTATTGGTAAAAGAAACATGAAACTGAGATCTACCACAGATAAATATCTTTCTGAAGAAGGCAAAGTTTTAAAAATTTCATGGAGAAGAAGTTGTTCTCAAAGTAGTATCTATTATTCCCACAGTGCTTAATTTTTAACTGGGCTATAGTTTGGATACAATAGAATGAAGCTTTTAGCTTTGCCACATATAACTAGGAAAGCAAACACTATCTATAGTAGAATAAAAATTGTTTTAAAAGATTGGTAAATGTTTAATATTAACAAGAAAAATATCTAGCCTCCAGCAATCAAAATTGAAACAAACATGAAATAACTTTTTTTATTATCAATTTGGCAGTCTTAAAAATGGAAATATCTAGTGTAATGATGGAGTACAGTTAATGGGAAATCACATACATTTTAAATGTGATGGTAGTTAAGACAACTTTTTTGAGAACAATTTTGCCTCATGAAAGCCTTTTAAAAAAATATTAAAACCTTCAGTAATTTTTCCTAAATAAATTATTAGATCTCTTTCCATTAAGATTTATGTATGTGTTTTCATGTCAGAGTTCCATATATTATCAAAAACTGAAAAAAAGCCTACATTTTCAATAAGAAGGGATTGGTTAAATAAATTATTGCATCCATATGTTGAATAAGATAGCAATTAAAACTGATACACAGCACTTTGAGAGGCCGAGGTGGGTGGATCACTTGAGGCCAAGAGTTCGAGACCATCCTGGCCAACATGGTGAAACCCCCTCTCTACTAAAAATACAAAAATTATCCAGGTGTGGTGGTGGGTTCCTGTGGTCCCAGCTACTCAGGAGGCTGAGGCAGGAGAATGGCCTGAACCCGGGAGGTGGAGGTTGCAGCGAGCCGAGATCCTACCAGTGCACTACAGCCTGGGCGACAAAGTGAGACTCTGTCTCAAAAAACTAAAAAAAATGTGATACAGAAAATTTAAGTTTTAGGAAATATTAATGATTGTTTATTAAGAAAAAAGCAGGACACCAGGGTACATGTTATATGTAATCAAGTTATTAAATATACATATTTATATAAAGACTTTTGTATCAAAATATTGTCATGTGCATTCTTGATGATTTTAAAAATCTGTGTTTTTTGGAAAAAAGAAGTAGTATATCAAATATATGCTTTAAAATGGCCAAAATTAAGTACAGGGTGAGTATCTCTTGTCTAAAACTCTTGAGACCAGAAGTGTTTAGGCTTTCAGATTTTTTTTGGATTTTGGAATACTTGCATATCCATAAGAAGATATCTTGAGGATGGGATTCAAGTCGAAACATAAAATTCACTTATGTTTCATGTACACCTTATAGACATAGGCTGAAGGCAATTTTGCACAATATTTTAAATGATTTTCTGCATGAAACAACATTTTGACTGCAATCCATTACACGAGTTCAGGTGTAGAATTTTCCACTTGTAGTGTCACGTTGGTGACCAAAAAGTTTCAGGTTCTTGAGTATTTAGAATTTCAGATTTTCAGATTAGGTATGCTCCACTTATAATTTGTAATAGAAGCTGAAAAACTGGTTGCTTTGCTTGTAAATGCAAATGTACACCATTAACATGTTTATACGTTGTCTTCTCTGATTTCATTGTATTGTCCTGGCGGGATTTTTTTCATATGATCTATGCTTGCCATGCACAAAAATTGAAGACATTTTACATTACTTAATAAACACTTATCTTCATTTTTTCTATTAACAATATTTCACCTATTATATGCTTTTTTTCCCCTCTTGAATTTGTAAAATAGATCTCAATGCTGGAGAAATCCTCCAAATGTTTGGGAAGATGTTTTTCGTCTTTTGCCAAGAATCTGGTTATGATACAATCTTGCGTGTCCTGGGCTCTAATGTCAGAGAATTTCTACAGGTAAGCAATTTGAGGTCCTATAGTTAAAAGTTCTGTGTTTATAACTCTCAAATATAGACTCTAGAATACTTTTGTTCACTCAGCTGTACAAGAGTGTCTTGCTTCTGAAATGGAATCGTAGTCACCTTTTTCTAATTCACATAAAATCATCGTTATTGGAGCGTCTCGAATACATTTTAGCATTATATTTTTTCTTTAACTTCTGGTTGCTGATACTGAATATGCAAGTTGTAAATTAATGTTCCCTGAAGAACTCCAGGTGGTCTTTTGTGATCTGTTCAACTGCCCTTTTTTTGGGGTAATGGCTCTATATCCTAGTGATTGTGGTTTTATGTGTTAGACATTTAATATGGCCTTATTTTCTATTTACAAAACATTCCTAGTTTGTAGATATAATCGAGCAATGTATCAGTATTTATGAAGTTCTACCTGGAGCTCAATGTTTAGGAAAAAGTAGTAGGGTTTTCAGGTGTTCTGTCACCAAAACATACTTAAGATCCATTATCATTAGTTAAATATTAATTAATCTACTGTACGAGGGAAAATAGGAAACAGTCCAAAGTCAGTTTCAGGTGAAAAAGTTAAATAATGCAATCACAGGCCTTTGTCTTACATTCTTGTTAAAATTACCTTAAAAGATTGTACTAGTAAATTACACATTAGATGAGAGACTATTTCTGGATTGACTATACTATTTTAAGCATTGACATTTGTGAGACCCTCTTCTTGAAATGTGTTAACATTGAAAATTATATAGTTGTTTGCAAAGGATATTTCTAAACTGGCTGCTTTCAGCAGCCAGATCTTGCTGGAAAATGATGTCAGTGCAATACTAGCTGAACCGAAGCCCAGTTTTGAGGGAATGTAAACTACTTTCAATCCAGCTGCATTATTGATTTAACAGCCAAAATAAGAACTTTAGTGTTTAATCAAAATGTCTGTTGTTTACATAGTGACATTTTTCTTATAAACTTAAAACAGCATTAAATCAAGTTGGAAACTGGTTTGCAATCTCCTGCCATGGATTTACTAAACTACTGGTGTCAAAAAAAGCTGCCACTTCCAAATGAAGTAGCTGCCAAGAGATATTTAAATAAAATTGAACAGGCAGCATTTAATGGGATTATTTTAAATGGATTAAAATTTGATACTTAAATGTTTTGGGGGATTTTGGGTTTTTGAATACATATTTCACTTTTTAGTACTTTTGTTGGCCACTATCAACTTATAGCAAAGTTTCAACTTTCAGTTGTTCTGACTTATAACTCTCTCTCTCAATGCCCATGTTTACATAACAAAACAAAGATTCAAGTGGTTTTATTAATTCCTTTTTTTTTTTTTTAACCTCTACTCATTGTGACCATCTGCTAAGCTTGTTATGGCACAGTAAGAGAGCAAGCGGCCTTTTAGGTGTGTTTCTCTGTATTCCAGAGCTGCTTTATCCAATAGGACAGCCACTAGTGCATGAGGCTACTCAGCATTTAAAATGAGATGTGCAAACTGGGGAGTGGCTCACACCTGTAGTCCCAGCTACTTGGAGGCTGAGATGGGAGGATCACTTGAGCCTGGGAGATGGAGGCTGCAGTGAGTGAGCTGTGATCACATCACTGCACTCCAGCCTGGGTGACAGAGTGAGACCCTGTCTCTACATACATACATACATGTGTACATACATACATACACACAACAAAGTGCAATGTGCTGCAAGTGTAAAATATACACCAGATGTCAAAGACAGTACAAAAAGAATAAAAGATGGCTCATTCACAATTTTATATTGATTGATTTCATGTTAAAATGTTAATATTTTGGATATATTTGGTTATATAAAATGTAGTTAACATAGCTTTAAATTATACACAATTTTATTTTATTTCTCTTTCAACGTGAGAGTGAAAAATGAAGAAACTAGAAAGTTAGAATACTGTAGTTTTCATCAATATTTTACATTATGATTCAGTTCTTTTATTTTCTCCTGGTTTTGAAATTATACATTTTAAGGGCAAATTGAATATGTTAAAATACTGCTTTTCTAAAAAGTAGATATTTATGTTATCATTAGGCTGATTACACAGAAATTAAATGGACTTTTTCTGTGTGACTATAAAACAAAATCATTAACTTTCATACATTGTTTTAACATGCCAGCACACATATATTGACATTTTTATTACGTAAATTAGTAAAATATTCTTTATGGTGACTTCAACTCTTCACTAAAAATTTAAAGACTTTCTTTCTGTTTCAGTCCTGGTTTTAATCAGTCACAGCATCTTTAGATTCTATTTCCCAAATACTGAGCTTTGGGAATTCTGCCACTTTTCTCTATTTCCCCCCACACTTCTTTGGGAGAGTCTACCATTATCTAGAGGTTGAATGGATTCCCTGCTTCTCTTCATGACTCCTCCAATCTCTTCTCCATCCTATAACTCTAGTGCTTTTTCTGAAATGCAAATGTCTCTCGTCGTATCGTTTTCTTGCTTAAACTCTGGAGTAATTTTTTATTGCTCACTGGAAACTGTCAAAATATTTAAAACAATTGAAACCTACATCCTTTCTGCATCTTTCCTCTCCCTCTCCCCCAGTCCAGCCAAACTTAACCTCTTTAAGAACCTTGTATTTATCTTGTTCCCGCTATCCTCTCAGCTTTTCCACTGCTCTTCTCTTTGCCTGGAGCATGTTTCCAGCACTTTCCCCATAGATAAATTCTATTAATTCTGCAGGTAAAATTACTTCTCTGGGAAGACGCCACTCCTCTCTCCAAGCTCTGCCCTATCCTAGTCACGGTAACTAACCTCTCTCTTATTTTCATAGGACACTCTATTTCCCCAGCCACAGTAGTTTTCATACTGCATTATCATTCCCATTTGATGGACTGGAATGTAAACTTCAGGAAGCCAGAGATCATGTATAATCTCTTAATGTTTGTACCTTCACAGATGCAATCTGTATATCTGAGAATAAATGAATATCTTTTTTAAAAAAGTGAATATTTGTTGTTTGTGCAAAAGCAGAAAACACACAATAGGAAGCAAACACACCAATAGATCAAGCTGAATTATTTGCCTCAGGATAACCCATTTCGAGTGAGATCCTGTAATTTTTTTTACGGATGAATCATAGATTGAAATATAAAAGAAGAGACATACACTAGACCAATTTCCTTTTCAGGTGAACATCCTAAATTACTGTTTATTATTTAATTTACAGGGTACATTGCTTGTATCTGTTGACACTTTTAAAATGGTCGTTCTGACATTTCCATTTTAAGCTTTTAGGGAACACTAAAATAGCTACTGAAATCATAACATGGGAGACTATTTGATTATGCCTTAGCTGAGCAACTCTGACTCACTCATCATAGCAAGCAGAATTTCCTTGGAAGTTGCCTGTCCACAGCCTCTCAGTTAGATACATTATTAAGAATAGGTCTGTCTTATATATGTATATACATACCATACCATTGTTTTTACTTTTCTTGAAATAATGAAAGAAAATTTCTAAGTACTAGACACAGCATATAATAGGCAATTAATGAAACAGTCTTTAAATAATAGAATTAATTAATTCTGAAGTATATGTGTCTTTATAATTATTTGGTCCAGCCTGTTTTATCAGGATAATACCTCTTTTGCTTAAATTTTTTATTCGAGGATACTGTATAGATAATATCTGTAGCTTAGCTCCAGAAAAATATTTGTTTTCTCACATGGAGGTTATCATTTCCATTCACAGTTGACTTAACGAATACTAACATATCTTTCCCCTTGAAAGGCTTTGGTGCCAATATCCAATTCATGACCCTGCTTATGCAGTCTCTCCTGTGCTTACAAATTCAAGTTTAAAAAATTTGCATTATGCGTATTTTAAGCCACACTGAGACTTTAACAAAAAAATAGCTAGAAGTCCTAAATGGATAAATAAAATATAATGGGATATATTTAGGATAAATAAAATTTAGGATAAATAATATTTAGGATATATTTACGATAAATAAAATTTATCCTAAATGGATAAATAAAATATAAAATTTAATGGATAATAAAATATAAGAAATATTTTTAGAGAAAACTTTGTAGAAATACTCCTCTTCTCTAGGCATTTCACAGTTTAGAATTGATTTTTTCTTAAATCACCAGTGAAAGCATCAACTTGTGGGCTGATGAAAAAAGTAATAATCTTTGGCATTTATTCTTTGGTTGATTTAATAATTGAAAATATAATGTATCAAAAAGAGAAAAAGAAGACATTTTTAAAATTTGATTTTTGGATCTTATATATTTTACCTGGGTATATTGTTTTAAAGACAAGACCATATTTCAGTAAGAATTTTGTCTAGTTTTTCCACTTTTTTATTCATAAATTGACAATAAAATGTGTGGTTCCATGCTATTGCTATAGTCAATGTCTTTTTTTGCGTTTTTTAATGTTTTATTATTATTATTATTATTGAGACGGAGTCTTGCTCTGTCGCCCAGGCTGGAGTGCAGTGGCGCAGTCTCGGCTCACTGCAAACTCCGCCTCCCGGGTTCACGCCATTCTACTGCCTCAGCCGCCCGAGTAGCTGGGACTACAGGCGCCCGCCACCACACCCAGCTGATTTCTTTTTCTTTTATTTTGTATTTTTTAGTAGAGAGGGGGTTTCACCGTGTTAGCCAGAATGGTCTCGATCTCCTGACCTCGTGATCCGCCCGCCTCGGCCTCCCAAAGTGCTGGGATTACAGGCATGGGCCAGAGCGCCTGGCTGCTATAGTCAATTTCTATCTGAAGCTTCTAGTGTACTGATGAAAAGACTGCAAAGAATACATGGGATTTGAAAGCTTCATAAGAAAATAGCTGATAAGGAATGTTCAGTTTAATGTTATTTCTACCTTAATCCACGCTCACCTCTACTCTCTAATGTCCTATTGCATTATGGCACATTCTATTTTCCCTAAATTACTGCAACAGTCTCTCCCATCTCACATGCATTTCTGTAGTATGATTTTGCCTCTTCCTTGCGGGAGGTAAAATTCTCTTTTCCTTGAATCTGGGTTGGCTTTAGTGACTATTTAACCAATCGAATGGGGCAGAAGTGAGATATTTAAACTTCCTAGGCTAGAGTACAGGAAGTCTTGGTTTCCTTCAGGGTATCTTGGAACAGTTGCTGTTGCGATGGTACCTCTAGAAACCCAGACACATGAAATGAGAAGCACAAGCCACATGGAGAGGCCACGTGTAGACTGGCAGATAGCAGTTCTAGCTGGGCTCTCAGCAAAGAGCTGGAAATAACTACCAGCCATTTGATTGATCCATCTTGGAAAACCAGCCTGCTCCGGCATTCTGATAATTTCAGCCCAGTTTCCATCTGATTCCGTCCCAAGGGTAGAACTTTCTAATTTAGCCAGACAACCCACAGAACCATGAAAAATAACAAATAAATTATTAAAGTTGTTTGACATACAGCTATGGATAACTAGACCACTACTCTGTGCATTATTTTTCCCTTTATATTTTATGTCTGTGTTAATATGTGTGTATATGCTTGTACAATGAGTCAAGAGCTTTGAGAAAGCTGTATTTGATAAGATAATCTATTACCCCTGGGAATAGGAGCCATGTCAGTCCCAAACAGGGCTACCAATTCAATTTCGATGGTATTACATTATTATTACATTATATTGTTTTTACCTCCCCTACAAATTTACAGAGTTAAAATGCAATTAAAATGAGCAGCGAAGGCTGCCAGGTTGACTATGAAAATATACGTGGGCAAATGCAATTTTAGAGAACAGTTAGGATTTAAATTATGACCTAATTTAAATTAGAACTCAGGTGAATAGTTAGATCAGCGTTCTTTCATTATTTGCTGGAGACACTGGCTTCTTCAACTAACCTTGATATGTTGACAGTTTCAGTCATTCACTCAACTCAGATATATTTGAGTTTATCAACTAGCGCCTCTGTTCAGCCTGCCATGGGATTTTCTTCAATTCCTGTTGGCTCCAGGTTTTGACTTATTAAATACAACATTGTGATTTGGCCACCAGGAACAATCTGAGATTGATGACTGATCTAATTCTTAAATGTTTGTGCAAAGGGTTATTTTAGGAAATATGAGGATTTTCCTGAACAGCTGTAAAATTCTAATACTTCCCTAAATTATTTATATTTCTTAAGAAAAAAGAGCACCATTCACTTTATTTTTAACTTTGGAATTTTAAAAAAGAGCTGTTTTCTCAGCATCCACAACGCCAATTTCTATAATCCAATAATAAAAATAGTTTTATTTTTTAAAAACTTATGAAGGAAGATAAGAAGTATTCCAGAATTGTAAGGCTTTTCAGTTTGAATAACTGGTATATATTTTCATAATTTTTCAAAATATTGATTAATTGTTACATGTAGTATTATATAGACTGGATCTTTTTTAACATGAGTTTAAAAGCAATAGAATAAGAGAAATATTTTAACTGTTTTTCTTTAATTAAAATATTTCCTTGGAGAGGATGGTAATGATAAATTGATATAGCTTTAACGCTATTTCCATTTAAATAATTTTAGTGACTCTGGTACAGTTTCTTTTTAAATAGAGATTTTCAATGTTTCTTTTAGAAAAGAATCTCTATATCTTTTCAGTTGAAAAGCTATTTAATTCTCAAGAAGCAGCTCCAGGAAGAAAAGGCAGGAAAAGTATTATGAAAGCATTCACTTCCTACTCCAATCTCATGCTATTTACTTTGGTGTTTCTCATCATCTAGGGTTTGATGTTCCATTTTACTTAGGTCGACTTTGTTTAAATGTTTTATCTTCAAATTCCAAAATGACTTTTTTCTTATAAAACTTAACAAAATATTTTTTAAATTACATGACTCTCATTAAAGAATGTTGGTGTTGGTCCTATTTTTCAGAGGTGTGAGGGATAGAAAGAAAGGAAATACTATACCTCATCCTCCTTCATTGAAAAACAAAAAGAGGTTTGCAATGACTGGTTTTAAAGATTTCTTGCAGATCTAAACTGCAGTAATATTCTCAACACAGACAACTCCCTTCTCCCCATCCACTAAAACAAGGATTCTTGGATACTGAAAATGTTTTTCTTTAAAACGTTCAAGGCAAGGTCTTACCCATTTCTGTGGATCCTTTAAAAAATTTAATTAGATGTCCTTGAAACAGGAAAATCAGGTAGTTGACTTCTGGGGACTTTGCCCCTGTAATTATGTAAGAACTTATTTTTGGCATGCATATTACAAAAAGAAAATGTGCATTTATTTTGAAACATCCCAAGATCTTTAAAAATGTGACACTTTATTACTCAAAGGAATGATAAATTGTCTTTTGTTTTCTAAATCTGTGAAGTGTACTATGTCTGAAATTCCAGTAGAGTACCCCAGAATACCAGAACTAATTTTTCTTTTATAAATGATAAATGCAAGGTGATAAAATAAACTAGACTGACAGGGAGCAGAATTCCTGAGTAGAAAAACCACATTCATTTGCTTGTAGAAAAACAATAAAATGATATTAGAACATTAAGAAATGAAATTATTAAATTAAAACCTTTAGGTATCTCAAGATATCAAAATAGATGAATGGACCTACTCTCTATATTTTTCCTGTTTTTTGATTTTATGAAGCCTAGAAGAATGAATCAAAGCATATTTCAGATTTACATCATTGTTTCCTGGGAATCTACTTGTGCTGCAATGTAAGAGTTTACATTTTTTCAGTGTCTTTTTTACTTTCATACATATGGACATACTTCTTTGCAATTGGCCACACAGCTCTTTACTTTCTGTAAGTGCTTCTGTGGGTATATTTAGAAATAACACAGAATATCAGTTTTGATATGAAACTCTTATTCCCCAGAATACATTGTTAGAGCAATGTGGATGAACTATCATCTTTGTTTAGATAGCATTATCAAATGTAGAAAGGGTTTTCTCTTGGCCATTGTAAGAATCTTTTTGTAGCAAAAAAAAAAAATTGTAGCCTGTATATGAGGATGACACATTTATTAGCAATATAAGTGTACTTAAATGAAAATAACTTTTAATCATTAATCTCATTTCTTGTAATAGTCTGGCTGTGGTAATTACTTTAAATTTTGAAAGAGTAAAGCCAAGTAAGGAAGGTTGTAACTCAAGAAATCCCAAGAGTATTTTTTATATTAGATACTATCTAAAGAAAATCAATATTACATTAAGTGGTGTTCAATCTTTTATGATTCAGGAGAGCACTTTACTTGTTCAATTAACTAATAGTAAATTCAATAACACAGTAAATCTCTGGAGAGTTGGTTACTGCAAAAAGACAGAAAAGGTGAACATTCTCATTTGGTGTTTTTGGTATCCTTTGGTGAGGGTGCAGTGCCTATCTTTAGTGACTCAGGAAGTACTGACTTGGATGATTGTGTCCACTCTCTGACTTGCCCCAGCATAAGTGGTGCCAGTGACATAAGTGGTGCAAGTCGTTATTGCCTTATGCCATCTGCTTGAGTGAAAGTAGAAATGTTTTAATAATCCAGTAAAAAAGATGAGTATGAAAATGATATAAGCACATTGGTACATTGATTTATGAAATATGTAAGCATTCTGTATAGAAAAAATATTAAAATGCCTTTTTGAAGTTATTGTTTGGTTCAATTTCCTTTTTTTTTTTTTTTTTTTTGAGGCAGAATCTCACTGTGTCGCCCAGGCTGGAGTGCAGTGGTGAGATCTGGGCTCACTGCAACCTCCACCTCCTGGGTTCAAGCGATTCTCATGCCTCAGCCTCCCAAGTAGCTGGGACTACAGGCATGCCCCACCACGCCTGGCTAATTTTTGTATTTTCTTTCTTTCTTTTTTTTTTTTTTTTTTTTTTTTTTGAGATGGAGTCTCACTCTGTCGCCCAGGCTGGAGTGCAGTGGCGAGATTTCGGCTCACTGCAAGCTCCACCTCCCGGGTTCATGCCATTCTCCTGCCTCAGCCTCCTGAGTGGCTGGGATTACAGGCACCCACCGCCACACCCTGCTAATTTCTTTTTTTTTCTCTTAGTAGAGACGGGGTTTCACCGTGTTAGCCAGGATGGTCTTGATCTCCTGACCTTGTGATCCGCCCGCCTTGGCCTCCCAAAGTGCTGGGATTACAGGTGTGAGGCACCGCGCCTGGCCAATTTTTGTATTTTCAGTAGATGTGGGGTTTCACCATGTTGGCCAGGCTGGTTCTCGAACTCCTGACCTCAAGTAATCTGCCTGCCTCCGCCTCCCAAAGTGCTGGGATTACAGGTGTGAGAGCACGCCTGGCCTCAATTTCTTTTTTAAGTGAGCCAACAACACAGTACCTGGGCCTGACTCTATTAGAAACATTTTCTAAATGCAGCCACAAGCTCAATTTTGACTTTGTGAGAAATGCAGATAAAAATAAAACTCTCTCAGTGATTTTTTTTTTCTCACCCGATTTTCTTTCACAAAATGTTTCACAACATAAGTAGAAGTATAAGGGGTCTGAGAGGGCTATGAAGCAGTTCTCAGGTCGTCCCTTCTAAGGGAAGAGTCCTAATGAGAATGATTCATCATTGGAAGAACCTCTCATACTATTCAACCAAGTAAAACAGTTTTAGGACTCCGGGGTTTGTAGGTTATATATACCTCTTCAATACTTAGTGGCTGCCATATTGGATTACTTTTACATGGCAATAGCAGCCTCTAGAGGCAATCCGGATGAACTGATGTTTTTGCTAAGAATTAGCTTGACTCCATCAGGTATAATTGTGGGGAAGGAAACAGTAGATGCAGACGGTTCAAAAAGTCACCAGATTTATCGAGTTGAGGAGGTCATTGAATCATTTATCTGGATTAGATTGTCAAACTTCATGACCTAGCTCAAATCACATCTTCAGTTTGAAGTATTTTTAACTCCATTCTTTCAGTCTGAATTGTTGGCTTCCTCATTTGCTCATCAAAAGCCACTCTACACATCCATTTGTGATATAAACCATGAGCTGCTTAATCCTCATCATGCAGATCTGCATCCAAACATCTACCCTGCACCCAAGCCCACATGACACAGTGTATGATATATAATGCACATACAATAACATTATAGAGTGAATGCATGATTGAGTGGATGTGTGGAAGGGACAGAAAATTAATGCTGTAAGTGTCCTGTTAGAGTATTGCTCAAATGTGGACACCCGCGGAATCATCTCATTCTCACCGTAGTTTCCTCCCAGTAATCTCACTGGATTTTTCTGTTTTTCTAAATTGACCTCTTTGAGACATTTGGAATGAAAGCCATAGTTTAATTTTGGCATATCTCCAGTACTTTCATTTTAGGTATGTTCTTTTATGCCCATGACATTTTGAAACTGTTTTGTTGTTTTTCTTTTCTTCTCTTTAAAAATAATCACCAGTTGTGAATAGATTACTACTTGCTTGGTGTATTTGTTTTTTATTGCTACCATAACAAATGACCACAAACTTAAGTGCTTAACACAAATTTATTACCCTATGGTTTCATAAGTTGGAAGTCCATTGCAGGTCTTACTGGACTATATTCAGCGTGCTGTGCTGGTGGGACGGGACTGTGTTTCTTTATGTTGGCTTTTGGGGATAATTGTTTTCTTCCTCATTCAAGTATTGACAGAATTCAGTTCCATGCAGTTATAGGGCTGAGGACCCAGTTTCCTTGACTGTCAGCAGGCAGCTGCCCTAAAGTCCTGGAGACCTCTCTCCAGTCCTTCAACAGTCTCCTACATCTCAGAACCAGTCGCATGGTGTTGAATCCTTCTCATACTCCCATCTCTTTGACCTTTTGTCATTGCACATCTCTCTGTCACCATGTAGCAGGGAAAGCTTCTTGACTTTTAAGTGCACAGTCACCCATGTGACTAGGTTGGGCTCACCTGGATAATCCAGGATAATCTTCCCAACTCAAGGTCCATAACCCTCATCACATCTGCAAAATCCCTTTCACCATGCGATACAACATATTCACAGGGATTAAGGCAAGGGAATCTTTCAGAGACAGTTGTTTTTTCAGCCTCGTCTGAAATGTGCTAAGTGCTTTATATACATGTTTAAAGTTATCTCCATTTTGCCAGAAGAAATAAAGTCTTAGAAAAATTGGGCGAATTGGCTACCTTCCTATGAAATGACAGTCATTATTTAAACCCATGTCTACTTGATCCTAAGTCATATTGCTCTTAATTCCTATACCATGCTGTGCTGTGTGTATATCCTACTATATATGTGCAGCACACACACACACACCCCAACATGTTATGAACTGAGTGTTATTTGAAAAATCATCTTGGGCCACATAAAATGTATAGCTTACACCGTTTCTTCTAGTACTCTTTACACCAATTAGTTTTGTATATTAGTAATCTGAGACTCAGGGAAACGTGGCATCTTCCAAACTAATGGCAAGGCTACAAAAACAGAAAATATTTATTGGCCAATTTATTAGTTTTCCTAGACTTTCAAAATGTAGTTATTTCACAGATTAGCTATGAAACTCCACCTTGATGATAGCATACTAAAGAACATGAAGAAATTACATTGTTTTAGTTTCTAAAATAGATTTTTAATTTCTAAGATATTAGAATAGTTAAATAGAAATCACAAAATAATATGCTTATGTTTTATATGCTTATAATTTGGGCATAGTTTTTTGAGTTGACAATTAAGTTTTAGAATTGCAGTATAAACAGAAGGGAAATGTGTGAGTCCTTTGGCCATTCCCTGTTGTTGATCACAACACGTAGAAACAGCTGCCCCAAGCTCTTGTAAATGTATCTTTGCCTTAGCCCTTAACTATGTTTTTTTCTGTTTTAGCCATCCTTTTTAATCCCACTTGTTTATCTTTTCTTAAAATGTACTAACTATTCATAGCTGCAGATATTTTTCTTAATTCTACTATCTTAGTTTCATTTTCTCTGTGGCACTTGCTTTACAGATATCTCAGTGGAGTGAAGGATGTGCTACATGTGCTGCTTCGCTGATCTGCCCACTAGACTCCGATTTGACTCGTTTTCATATCTTGCTTTCCCAGAGTCTGCTGTCATTGCGAAAGCATTGTTTATTGGTCTCCCTTTCTTCTTTGCTGCAGAACCTTGATGCTCTGCACGACCACCTTGCTACCATCTACCCAGGAATGCGTGCACCTTCCTTTAGGTGCACTGATGCAGAAAAGGGCAAAGGACTCATTTTGCACTACTACTCAGAGAGAGAAGGACTTCAGGATATTGTCATTGGAATCATCAAAACAGTGGCACAACAAATCCATGGCACTGAAATAGACATGAAGGTAACAAACAGCAATGGAGACTTCTGAACACAGATGACATCTAAAAATATTTTAAATGACACTCTCTAAATTTACCTGCAGTTATCACTGTTAGTGCTCTTCCCTGGAAGTATATATAAGCCAAAACAGTGGAAAGACCAGCAATCTTCTATATTTGGCCTGGGAGTGCATTATACAGGATATTTTTTTCCTTCTGGCAGCAGATTTTTCTTTCTAATTATATAGTGTTCAAGGCTACAAGAAATTTACTTTGCATTCCCTGTGAACACACACCAGCTGGGAAGCAGAAGGATATGTGACGACTGAGCTGTGGGTTTCAGCATGCAAAATATCCATAATATGGATAGTCAAATTCTAAGGCAATATAAAATTAAGTATTATTTTATAGATCATTTTCTCTTTGTCGATTTTTGTCTGCCCCGAAATATAGTTGGAATGTCTAATTTTGTGAATGAAAGTGTTTGTTTTTGTTTTTGTTTTTAATCAAGTTACTTGGTGAAAGAAGCCAGGTCTGGTACTTTAAAAATTGTGCTGTTATTGATAATACACACTCTTAGTTTTGAGTGATGATTTCAAGGTACTGATAGGGCAACCGTACAACAAAGAGAACCACTGTTTCTCTTTACCTCTGGCCCTTACGGTTTCTCCCAGTCAGGCTGCTTTTTATGTGTTCAGCATGTTCATACCCAAGAGTCAATTCTCAGTAGCTTTAAACTTGAGGCCAAAGTGGGGAGATAGATACCTTTTTCCAACCTTTCTTTGTTTATAGAAAACCTATTAGACAGTTCTTTCTTATAGATCATAGATATATTGTAACACACTTGGGAGGTCTAAAACCCTTAAGTGGAGTATTATCCAAAATTAAAATAGTAACATTTAAATAAATTAGAAAGATATTCCACATATTTAATCTAGTAAAGTTATGTTAGAGTTCATGGTTTTCTTTCTTTCAGAAGTTGGTGTTAGTTCTTACGTGGCACCTTTTGGTGATTTCCAGGTGCATCGTTAGTTTTCTACAACCATTAGTAATGGCGGAAACCACGATTACTGTTGCACCAACCTAATAGAAAGTAGGACTGTGTATAACATGGCATTATCAAATGCAGACATTTAAAAATTAAAGCCTTGGGTAAAGTATCACAATTCATCCATGATTGGGAATCTCACTGGTATTCAATCAAAATAGTATATACCTCACATTTCCAATCTTTTTTTTTTTTTGAGACAGAGTCTCACTCTGTCTCCCAGGCTGGAGTGCAGTGGCGCGATCTCCGCTCACTGCAAGCTCCACCTCCCGGGTTCACGCCATTCTCCTGCCTCAGCCTCCCAAGTAGCTGGGACTACAGGCCCCCACCACCACGCCCGGCTAATTTTTTTGTATTTTTAGTAGAGACGGGGTTTCACCGTGTTAGCCAGGATGGTCTCTCTCTCCTGACCTCATGATCCGCCCGGCTCGGCCTTCCAAAGTGCTGGGATTACAGGCGTGAGCCACCGCGCCCGGCCAGTCTTTTGTTCTTGACATTAAACTAACAGTATCGCCTGGGCGCAGTGGCTCACGCCTGTAATCCTAGCACTTTGGGAGGCCAAGGCGGGGGGATCACGAGGTCAGGAGATTGAGACCATCCTGGCTAACACGGTGAAACCCCGTCTCTACTAAAAATACTAAAAAAATAGCCAGGCGTGGTGGCGGGCGCCTATAATCCCAGCTACTCGGGAGGCTGAGGCAGAAGAATCGCTTGAACCCGGGAGGCACAGGTTGCAGTGAGCCGAAATTTCGCCACTGCACTCCAGTCTGGTTGACAGGGTGAGACTCCATTATCAAAAAAATAGAGAAAAAAAAAAAAATAAAGCAAAACAAAACGAAAAACAAAAAAAAACACAGCATCTATACTGAGTGAACGTATATGCATATTGTATGCACTGTTGGTTTTATTTTTATTTAACCAGACTGAGAAAGAGGTAGGTTCGTAGAAACTTCAGAAAGAAACACAAATTAGGACACACTTGGAAACTACTATTACTGTGGTATTAGAATCTTTGGCATGGGAGATTGATGGCTTTAGCAAACTGTATGAAATTCAAGTATTTACTTAATTATATGGTTCACTTTATAAAATATTTAAATTCTCTTCTGACCATTTATTCAAGTGCTTCAATATGAACTTCTGAAATATTTGCATTTTATAGGTATATTTTATGTGTTTAATTTTTTCAAAAGCACTGTTTTGACTTCTCGAGGGATTCTCACATTAAGTTTATCAGGTCCAGAGATACCAGACAATTTGAACCACATGGTTAATACTAGATCATGTCATAAAGTGATATACCAATGAGAAGTTAAAAATATGATTAGAAAAGCTATTTGTTTTGCCAGTTTGATCAAAGCAAAAAAATTAGAATTGAATAATTAATTCATAAGTTTAGGATACATATAATTCAATTTCTCTAGTTAAATAGAAACAGAGTAGAACATCAAAAGTAGGCCTGTCATTTAAGGTTGACTCTCTTGCCTTGTCTATGAGTTAGGGAAATCAACCTTAATGTGGTAAAATTTTCAAATTATAAATAAGGATACTAATATTTAACCAGTATAGTAAGTTATTCTGACAGTGAGGTAGTAACATCCCAGTTTTGCTACAAAATATATCTAAAAGAATATATACAATAGCATCTATAGTTATTGTGATTTGTTTTTAAAAATTGCAGAGAATGCGACAGGGTACTCCTGAAAAAAAAAAAAGAAAAGAAAAATGAACAACATTTTGTTTTTATTTAGCTGTAACTGAAGAAATGTTGTCCCAAACTTTTTCTGTTTTGGGTCTGGTTGCCGTTGAGATCGAGTTTTCCCTTTGTAAGAGGGCTCATTGCTTGCAATTTCTTAACCCAAAAAGAAGAGGAAAATCTATACTTTAATAATGTATTTGCCTGTGAATAATACTTTAGAAAAGTAGGATTTTTTTACATTATAGATATTAGCTCACAATTACGATTACTTCTTTAGAATGAATTCCTAGATTTGCAATTAAATCAAAGAATCCACAAAATTTTAAGGAATTTTTATGCCTATTGTCAATTTATCCTTCAGAAAGATTAATCAAAATACCCCCTCATCAGTGGTATTTGAGATGCCTCTTTTTCAGTACCTTACCCAATTTAATATTGTAACTTTTTTTTCTTTTTTTGAGACAGAGTCTCGTTCTGTCGCCCAGGCTGGAATGCAATGGCATGATCTCGTCTCACTACAACCTCTGCCTCCCCAGGTTCAAGCAATTCTACTGCCTCAGCTTCCCGAGTAGCTGGGATTATAGGCACCCACCACTGCGCCTGGCTAATTTTTGTATTTTTAGTAGAGATGGGGTTTTGCCATGTTGGCCAGGCTGGTTTCAAACTCCTGACCTCAGGTGACCTGTCCGCCCCACCCTCCCAAAGTGCTAGGATTACAGGCGTGAGCCACTGCACCTGGCCTGGTATTGTAACTTTATGTATTTGATAGTTGATGGTTAAAAATGACATTGCATTTATTTTTGAATATGAATCTCTATCATTTTATTTCCCATTGTTTTAAAATAGTATTGTAATCTTATTTGATAGTGCTAGCTTGCTTTTAGCTGGCTTTCAGGTTGTTCACTATACAAGTGTGCTTGGCTAAGAAGGCAGAGCCCACAAGTGCTTTTTTTTTCTAATTCTACCAAAGAGACCATATAGGATACTGGGGAACTGATACCAGATTTGTAATTTTACAATGATTATTCAATCTTCAAATTTTATAGATCAAAGTCCAGAAATATTTTCCTATTTTAGACATATGGAGTATTTGCATATATGTTTTGAATTTTTGTAATTAATCTTCTAAATGCAGTATTCATAACTCATTTTTTATATTTAGGTATTTTTATTAAACTGAAATGAAGACAATTCATGCCATTTCCCCCTTTGATATCCAGGTTATTCAGCAAAGAAATGAAGAATGTGATCATACTCAATTTTTAATTGAAGAAAAAGAGTCAAAAGAAGAGGATTTTTATGAAGATCTTGACAGATTTGAAGAAAATGGTACCCAGGAATCACGCATCAGCCCATATACATTCTGCAAAGCTTTTCCTTTTCATATAATATTTGACCGGGACCTAGTGGTCACTCAGTGTGGCAATGCTATATACAGAGTTCTCCCCCAGGTAAAATGACAGCATACTTCCTTGGGGCCTGAGACAAAAGCCCATAGAAATACTATTGTTACAGGCAGCCATCCATTCATTTAACCCTCTGACTATGTATTAGGTAATATGCAGTTTATTGTAAGTTACACAAATTGTTTAATTGTGAACTAAGTGTATTTGAGCATACCACAACTTTCCCTAGGACAACTATTTTTTTATAATAATCACATACAGAAACAGTAGGAATGTTATGTAAGAATAGTATACTTGTTACAGTGAAAAAAAATGGGTAACTTTTTAGTAACAGTCACCTTTCACATGTTTATTTATTCACTGAATAAATATTCATTGGATATCTACCATCTGTAAATAGCTTTAAAAATCAACTATTGATGGTGTTAAGGGAAAAGGGGGGATTTTAAAAAGAACTAAAACACAAAATGATAGAGATGATGATGGATTCAGTAGAAAAAGCATCAAAGGAAGCAGTTGGGATGATGATGAGAAACTGCTGTTGACTTCTATGACAGATCCATTGGTAAAATCCTTTATGCTTACTCTTTTTTTCTTAAATACTAACTTTTGGAGTTGTATATGGCATACGTTTAGAGATACTTTTTGCTTGTAATTAAAGAGACTTGAAAATTCAGGATTAGCCCAGTTGGATCAGGTGAAATGGAAGCAGAGTAGTGTGCTGTCCTGGCTCTGGTATTGACTCTACCTGTCCCTTACTGTATGACCTTGAACTTATTACTTCACTTCTCTCAGCCTGTTTCTCTTTGTTCTGGCATGAGAATAGAAAGCATATGAAAAATACTTAGTTCATTGTAAGCAATCAATCAGTGTTACCTATTGTTTTCACTTTTAGCCCTCTAGATAAATATTAAGAGAGGGTTTGCTCATGTTTTTGGTATTTTAATTTCATTTCAAGCCATACACATTTAACATAACACTGTACATTTTAAAAGATAAATTTTCATTTTTTCTCCTTCTGAAAATGCATTGTAAATTTATGCTAGCTTACATTTGAATATTAGTCATCTGAATCCATATCAGATTTCATGTTCTTGTAACTATTTAATGTCCATTTAATCACTGAGTTGTATAGATTGAGATTTGAGTTGATAGTTCAGCTAAGTTTCCCTTGAATTATAATAATTATAATTTTCTAGTTTTAAATATAACTGAGCTGATTTAATCAAGCGATTAATATCAAAGTATAAAAACTATTTTAACTGATGTGATACTCTTTGCTCTCTATCTATATTTTAGCTCCAGCCTGGGAATTGCAGCCTTCTGTCTGTCTTCTCGCTGGTTCGTCCTCATATTGATATTAGTTTCCATGGGATCCTTTCTCACATCAATACTGTTTTTGTATTGAGAAGCAAGGTAATCAAGATATTATTTCATTAAATGTGAGAAAGGTATGTCACAAATTAGAAGTATTCAGGGGGGAAAATTATCACATTCTCTGAGAAAGTATAGAGAGATAAAACCCAGACCTCAAAGGAAGATCTATTTAAAAGGCAATAACATTGATTTTTGGTTTGCCTGAGGAGCAGTGGAACTCTATCAACTGATTAAAATTAACAGAGGTAAATTTTAGAGACTGTCTTTCTGAGACGGCCTTGTTTCACATCAAAAAACCAACATCTTTTACTCCCTGTACAGCTACAGTGCCTTATTTTAGAAATCAGAACTAAAAAGGATTTTTTTTTTTGGAACTTCACTCAAAACCACTTATTTATTCTTTCTTAAATTGTCTATTGTTCTTAGTAGCGTTTTTGTGGGTGAATAAAAGTGATGAAATATTCACACAGTTGATAATTTAGATAGTGCTGGGATCTCACGGTTTCTGTTCTTGGGATAGATACAGCAAAAGTCATTTTCCTAGAGTACCCATTGAATCCTTTCTGTATTTGGAACTGACTGTTTGCAGCTGCTCTATGAATACAGGGTGGGAGAATGGGGAGGCTTGGCTTATTCTTTGAGAGTCTGGTAATGTATGTTGGAACCATACCGGAAAATCAGGGGGATAAAAAAGATTCACAAAAGCTTGAAATAATTATGTGAAGAGTAGCACAGTTACTGTCCTGAATTCAGACGGGACAGTCACTTTTCTGCAGTGTTGCAAGGCAGCCACTAGGCTTATTACAGGCAGAACTCTGACAGAAGGCCCTCTCCTGTTCTAATGATGCACTTATTCTGCTTTGTGGTTTGGTGGGAAATGAGATATGCGTGTCCTTGTTGCTGAATTCTTAGGTAGGGAGAAAGGCATTCATTAATGGTTGTATCTTGCCTTTTCAAGGAAGGATTGTTGGATGTGGAGAAATTAGAATGTGAGGATGAACTGACTGGGACTGAGATCAGCTGCTTACGTCTCAAGGGTCAAATGATCTACTTACCTGAAGCAGATAGCATACTTTTTCTATGTTCACCAAGGTAATCATTTTTAGATTAATTATAGTGGCTATCAGTACCTATCTTTAGCTAACAAAGGAATGCCACAATATTTTATTCCATTAAATTTACATATTCTCTGAGGTGTAATTAGATTTTACAGCCCTTGTTGTGTATTACTTTATAACAAGGATAATCTTATTTAATATTTGCTAATAAACTCAGAAGAAATCACATACTCTATGTTATTTGCCATGTCTTAATACATTTGTGGAGTGTTTATGCCATTACGCCATGGGACAAATAATCTGCATTAAGCTAATTCTATAGTTTTGGACCTTCAAAATAGGCATTATGTAGAAAAGTGATTTTTTAAAGCAGCTAATAGGATGGCATAATAAATACATTGGTATATTTGACATCAAAAATTATCTTTTCTATAGTATGTTAGCAAAAAATCTAAAAGGTCTCTTTCTGGGTTTGAACTATTTTAAATTAAAAATATTTACCTACTCTAATCCAAATACACTGTTCCAAATATATTATTCAATTAAAATGTATGTAAAATGTGATTTTTAATAAACGTCAGAGAAAAATAAAACTATAGATTGTTGTTTTCCAATTTAGGAAAGCATTTTACTAGGAGATACATGGGAATTCAGAAATATAAAAATTATGTCTAAATTTGCTTCAGAACAATAGAAAAGATAACTGTGGGGATTATTGTGAGATGATATTCTGTGTATTCATAATTTTGTATAAACAAAGTGTAGGTGCATTATGTAGTAACACAGTCAAGAAGGCATGTTTTGGTGAGCTATTGGTTAAAAATTTAATCTGAATTCCACCATGATCACTTTTCACTTAAAAATGTGGTCTTAAAATTTCTGAAAAATGTAATACACTTTGTAACAACCTCCTGTTATATTATTACTATTGTATTATACATTACATAACAATAATATATAAGGCCAAATAAGAATAATATATTGTTGGCACAGTAGTTCACACCTGTAATCCCAGCACTTTCGGAGGCCGAGGTGGGTGGATCACAAGGTCAGGAGTTCAAGATCAGCCTGGCAAACATGGTGAAATCCCATCTCTACTAAAAATACAAAAATTAGCCAGGAGTGGTGGTGGGCACCTGTAATTGCAGCTACTAGGGAGGCTGAGGCAGGAGAGTCGCTTGAACCTGGGAGGCAGAGGTTGCAGTGAGCCGAGATCATGCCACTGCACTCCTGGGCAACAGAGCAAGACACTGTCTCAAAATAATAATAATAATAATAATAATAATATATCGTTAATTTTTAAGTACATTTAAGATTAATTAAATATTATTTAACTATGACATATAAGAATAATATATCAGATAATATAAGGATATGGATGTCTTTTCCCTGAGAAATAAATATCAGGAAAATAAAAGAAACAAAACTAAGAAACATAAACGCTTTTTAAAAAAATTATTAAGCTACATTGATCTAAAGATGTCCCATCTGCTATCAGTAAGTGTTTTCTTCTTCTGCCTCTTCACAGGTTGAGCTTAGGAGAATGTCAGCTTCTCATTAGGGGCAATTTCTATTTATGGAAAGAAAGGTTTTCTTCAGAAATAAAAGCAGAAAATTTGGAGTTTATTTGTTAATTCCCATATGCAGACATTGGTCACCCAGTGAGAAAATTGCAGATTGTCCTATGAGACATGCTCAGGTGTGTAGGAAGATTTGTACTCACACTACATAAACAAAGATCAAGTAAAAGTAGTTTTACTTGTAAAATAATTCTAAGATGATTAGTTTGAATTTAGAAAAAACTTAATGGTTCATTAAAATAATGATATAGGGCATTTTTAGAACCACGAGACCGTTATGATTTAAGTTTTGTAACTCAGTATGAGCATTTTTGACCATTCATTTTTGAACGTACAATCATGTTTTTTCTCTGCTCATGGGCAGGTCTCGTATACCTTTGGCCGATGATCTGGCTTCTTTCTAGATGTGTCTTTTTCTGCAAGTGGATTTACATATCCATTTTAACGAAATTAAAAGACACCGTGTATTTCATTAGTAAAATCTTTGATTGTTTTATTTTCTTTATAGGTATGCTAATTTTTGTTTTGCTTTATGAACATTGCTGCTGAGAATATATTGCATTAATCCAAAATTCTGCAAAGTCACCCCTTTTAAAGAATTTTGGATAGGATTAATTCAAAATTCTTCAAATTATTAATCCCAGATTCTCCAAAGACATAACTAAATTTTTTCCTTTTAGAGTAATTATTATTCAGAGTGGCCAGAAGTAATGACTTTGCATTAAAAAAATTCAAGCCAAAGATAT
The DNA here is from genome assembly GCF_000001405.40 of Homo sapiens. Lineage (NCBI taxonomy): Eukaryota > Metazoa > Chordata > Mammalia > Primates > Hominidae > Homo > Homo sapiens. The sequence goes on from NC_000004.12 coordinate 155,798,803, forward strand.
AACCTTATGCCATTTTAACCAGTTAGGTTTTGTTGTCGTTGTTGTTGTTGTTTGAGATGGAGTCTCGCTCTGTCACCCAGACTGGAATGCAGTGGCATGATCTCAGCTCACTGCAGCCTCCTGCTCCCGGGTTCAAGCAATTCTCCTGCCTCAGCCTCCCGAGTAGCTGGGACTACAGGCGCTAGCCACCACACCCAGCTCATTTTTGTATTTTTGGTAGAGACGCGTTTCACCATGTTAGCCAGGCTGATCTTGAACTCCTGGCCTCAAGTGGTCTGCCCACCTCGCCTCCCAAAGTCCTAGGATTACAGATGTGAGCCACTGTGCCCAGCCTCAAAGAGTACATTTTTAAAAAGCAGTTAACTTTTTACTTGTCAGATTATCACTAAAATAATAAACATTATTATGTTGTTGGAAAAATGACACAAGTTACAATGATGACGCATAAAATTCAGCAGGATTGAATAATGTTTCAAATAAATGAGAAAAATTTGTCAAAGTAAAAAGAAGACATGAGAGCCAGAAGTAAGAATGACACATAGTTTTAGATACATAAATTACATGCTGAGGCTGGGTCATAAACGTGGTTGGGAATTTTTACTCATTGTTTCCAAAAGGGAAAAATAAGCAGTTACAAGATTCATAGAATACAGAAAGCAAAATGAAAGTTTCTCAAAAGAAGCATTATTATTCTTGAGAGAGAGAATAAAGATAGATTTTTTTCCTCTCCTTATGATGAGAAAAAATTTGAGAATAATAAATTACAGCCTGTGTTAAATACCTCAACGTTTATCATAGAGATGTTTTCTACATGATCGTTTCAATTTAGACTGATGGCACCAAAAAGTGCAACCTGGCAAAAATGCATCTCAAGTTCACTGCTTTTTGGTAGATGCTTAAATATCTAAGAGAATAAACTCACAATCTTCGTTCAATTCTCCATAATTCTATTGTCTTCAGCCTGATGTTTTGAATGGTAGGAGGTGGCAGGATCAGATTCCTTGACAGAAATCGGGATTGCATTGTCATGTATATAAGTTGAGACTGATCTTGCCTCATTTCTCCATATGACAGTGTCATGAACCTGGACGATTTGACAAGGAGAGGGCTGTATCTAAGTGACATCCCTCTGCATGATGCCACGCGCGATCTTGTTCTTTTGGGAGAACAATTTAGAGAGGAATACAAACTCACCCAAGAACTGGAAATCCTCACTGACAGGCTACAGCTCACGTTAAGAGCCCTGGAAGATGAAAAGAAAAAGACAGACACGTAAGAATGTAACGCTTGGAGCACTACTGTTATTCATAACATAATGTGACTCTACTATATTTAAGTTTGAGAACCAGACTAAAAAGCCATGTGACCTGTAATAGCTCTGGTGTAGTAAATAAAATCTTTCACATTGCTTTTAAAAAGAAATTATGCTTAAGGAAATAAACCAGTCTTAATGGTGGTGGAAATATGTCTGCTATTTTTAGAAGCCAAGTTGGAATAATATAGGCCAAAATATCTTTTGGAAAATCATGAGAATAACTCAAATTCAAATTTAGTTCAAAAATTGAAGTTTAACTATCATTTATTCCTGCATTCTTTCATACAAGAGTTATATATTGACCATCTTCAGTATGCTGGGGGCTGCCGCGTGCAGAGAGCTGCTCTGCACAATGAACTTAACCACTGGCCATTACATGTTTAAAAATTTATTTTCTGGGACCTTGAATTTAGGATTAGAAAGAAATGAATCTGACAAATTGTAATATTATATGTAATGACAACAATTACATCTATAGTGACATACATTAGCAAAAATATCAAAATATAAAACATTTCTATGAGTGGTGGATTCAATTATGAAATATTGAGCAAGGACATGAAAGATAATACTTGATTTTCAAGAAATGTATTTAAGTAAGTACATAGCATGCATACTACTTGGCCTTGCTTTCATATGCTAATTAAACGCACATCACTGACATTTATAAGCTATTTTACCCAGGTTCTTATGTGTTCGTTTTTTAATGTTTATATAAACATTTGGCGGAGCTTCTAAGACCTTAGGACTAACGTTCAAAGTCACATGGGTTTGTAGGTTTGAGTTACTCAATATTCTGTTCTGGCTGTTTGTATTAGAAAATCATCTAGGTTTCATTTTTTTTGTATTGTGACTCAATTTGCTAATATCTACATTCATGATAAATAGATAAATAACCAGCACTATAAATAACATAGCCTTTAAATTATGACATATGCAGATATTCTGTACTGAAAAAGCTCTTAATTCACTTCTTTTCCTAAATTGTCAGCTTAAGCAGAGTATTAGCTTCTCTTCCTAGACCAGGAGTCCAAAACTGGGAGTTGCTGGGAGTTAAACAGCGGCCTTGTCTTTAATACGAGTAGCTGATAAGTACTTATTACAGAACTACTTCTTTGTTTGGATTCCCCAAGGTGGGTTTCACATTCAGGAACTATTTGCACCATTTCGAGTTACTGTGCTTCAAAAATCCTTATATTATTTTTTAGATTATTAGATTTAGAATTTGGTTTTTGTAGATATTTGGGTTTCAAGGTGATGTCATTAGAAACCATTTACTATTAATTTTCTTTAAAGCTAAGTAGTTTTACTGTTCATACTTACTATTCAAATATAGCTTTAATATTTCATAAAACATTCAATGTTTAAAAGTTGAAAATGAAAGACCGGAGAAATTCTACTATGACTAGGAAAAACATTGAGAGCTCAGCTCCATTTTGCATATTTAAACTTCCCACATATGCCCTTTTGCTTTAGAGCAAAAGGCAGGAAGAAAAAGGCAGGAAGGCTTCATTTGTTCCTCTTCAGTCTTCCAATCCAGAGCCCATAGGTCTAGTTTCTGCTTCTTTCCCTCTAAATTCACCAGCTGTCATCCTCCTCCTGTGTGCTCACATTTGTCCCTTAGCATGATCCCATAGTAGTCTCAGTTGTACCTAAAGAAATACAATAATTTATTTTCTAGACCAACTTCCTCTGGTTTTATCAGTTTCTTCTATGGAGGAGTGAGGCATGAATGAGACTGGAGAGAAATTCTGCTTCTTTTAATATTACTTACCAAAAATAGAGACATATTTCTTATTCTAAGAGGCAAACCTGTTTCCATTATTGTGCTATTCATACCATGTTTTAGGTGCTGGTAATGACAGTCTTCATACTGTGACTATCGTAATAGCAGGGTCAGAATACAGGACTACAAATGAAAACTTTGATTTTCTATTACCAGTCTTTTTGTTTTGTCTGTTTGCTTGGCTTATTTTGATTTGGTTTGAACTAGTTTGGGCTTGCGGATGTCTTATGTGATTAGGATGAACAAATAATTTATGTTTTCTGTAAATCCTTGCTTATAAATACAGCTAATATTTGATGCTAATTTTAGAGGATGTCCTGCTAGAATCCAGGCCTTTAAAGTACAAACGACACTGATGCTGTGTGAAAAGGACAGCAGAAGCACTAAAGGCTTTCCCAGTATTTCTTACAGTGGCTTTCTGCTGATCCCACTGAACAGATTGCTGTATTCTGTCCTTCCTCCGTCTGTTGCCAATGAGCTGCGGCACAAGCGTCCAGTGCCTGCCAAAAGATATGACAATGTGACCATCCTCTTTAGTGGCATTGTGGGCTTCAATGCTTTCTGTAGCAAGCATGCATCTGGAGAAGGAGCCATGAAGATCGTCAACCTCCTCAACGACCTCTACACCAGATTTGACACACTGACTGATTCCCGGAAAAACCCATTTGTTTATAAGGCAAGTGTTCTTTATCGCTGACTGCAGAGCTATCCAGAGGCTGGCGTTCTGAGACTCCCCTCCAGAGGCCATGTCATCACAGCTCTCTGACTCCAGCACTGCAGCCTTGAGTACAGTGAGCCTCCATGTATTCACTCTTTACCATGTTCTTAAATAATTGCCTCTTGTTATAAAACTGTCTCTTCCTTGTAACCACAATGAATGTTTCATGAAGTGGGTGATTCCCTGGTTAAAATGAAATGTTCACCATCTTATTTGCACTTAGGCTAACAAATCTGGACAGGCTGTTTATCACATGTAGTATAAACATAGCATTCATTTTAGTCCTCTGCAAGAGACATTTTTACTGAGATATATAAATGCTTTGTACAGTAAAGAAGTCATGAAGCATGAGAAGGACTCAGATTTGCGTTTAGATAACATCAACTTGAAGAAGATAAACATTTATAAGGCGTTTTTGCCCTTTGTTTCATTTAGAAATAAATATAATATTGGAAAAAAGAAGTCAGTGGAATATTGCTACATAAAGGCAAGAATGTTAAGTAAACCATCTCTAGATATCTGGGGTAATATAACTACACAAGGACTATTTATTTTATAGTCATTTTCTGAGGTACACTCTAGCATGTGGTGAGCACATCATACAAACAAATGATTAATGACCGTGATAAATCACTGAACTTGAAATGGTGGCTCTCCATGCCGTCAAGCCATCACTGTTTTAGGTAGAAATGTAAAAAATTATTCTTCTGAATTATAAAGTTATCTGAGGTGAGAAATTAATTGCTTACTAAAGGAAAAATAATTCTATGTCTGTACCTGCCCGTCATCAAAGACCCCAAGTGTCCATCATGTGTGTAAATTATAAGTAATTGCAAGGTTTCATTTTGTTGGAGTTGAATATATTAGAATTTTAAGAGAATTAAAGGGGGAGGGAAGCTTAAAGTTGCTGGTAGACTTGAAAAAATATGTTTTTTGTTAGGGTAATAAATGAAACAGTCTTTTTTATGCTAACCGTGAACATCTAAATATATGTACTGTTAGGTGGAGACTGTTGGTGACAAGTATATGACAGTGAGTGGTTTACCAGAGCCATGCATTCACCATGCACGATCCATCTGCCACCTGGCCTTGGACATGATGGAAATTGCTGGCCAGGTTCAAGTAGATGGTGAATCTGTTCAGGTTAGTAAATGAAGTAGATATTGTAATAATGGTATGTAAACCTTTTTGGACAATTGATTCATATCGTTGTCCGGAAAATCATTAACGTGTATAAAGAAGGGCATCTTGACAACAAAGACTATAGCATTTCATCCAGCCCACTGTACTACATTCTTTCATAGACATGGAGATTTATCTACCTGTTTGAAATTATCTAGTCCGTTTCATGTACTGAAAGTCATGGGGATGAGAAAAAAACCTCTTGTACCTTCTAGTTTATTTTTTAAAACCTCTTTCATGTCTCATGTAAGTTACTAGATTCACATCTTTGAAATCTTCAGACTTCAAATGTTTCTCTTGAGATAGGATATTTCCCTGGGGAGATAGAGATTTCATGGAGGGCTTTTGAAGTTGTCCATAATATGCTTGAAATTCTTATAGACATCTCTTACGATGTTATATGATGACTCTACATTATTCTGTAATATAAAGTAAGCAAAAATTCATGTGTTACAGGAACAGAAAACCAAACACCACATGTTCTCACTCATAAGTTGGAGCTGAACAATGAGAACACATGGACACAAGGAGGGGAACATCACACACCGGGACCTGTTGGGAGTTTGGGGGCAAGGGGAGGGAGAGCATTAGGACAAATACCTAATACGTGCGGGGCTTAAAACCTAGATAATGGGTTGATAGGTGCAGCAAACCACCATGGCACATATATACCTATGTAACAAACCTGCACCTTCTGCACCTGTATGCCAGAACTTAAAGTAAAATAAAAAAAAAAAAATTCATGTGTTAGTGATCAAAATGATTGAAGCAAAGCTTTCTTTTTTGCAGATAACAATAGGGATACACACTGGAGAGGTAGTTACAGGTGTCATAGGACAGCGGATGCCTCGATACTGTCTTTTTGGGAATACTGTCAACCTCACAAGCCGAACAGAAACCACAGGAGAAAAGGGAAAAATAAATGTGTCTGAATATACATACAGGTGAGAGAAAATGTCTTGGTATTTACTGATTTGCAAAGAAAATGTGTCTTTGCATGTGGTTTAATTCTCTGAGAGATTTTGTTGCTTTAACAGAGTTATCACCTTCACTCTTCCCCACTGCTTGTAGAGTTGTTTACTTTTTATTTGAGAAGATTGTGTCATTATTTCCATTTTATATGATTTCACATCATCTTAGGAAATCCTGATATGATCATTGTTTCTAAAGCTTTGAGTTACCTTTCAGTACAACTTCAGCATTTGTTCTTGCCATCTTGGTTTATAACATGATACATGTCACCTTCTCTATAAAACTTGTGTATACTTCTCTCTCTACTCCCCTTCCCTTGTCTTTTAGATGTCTTATGTCTCCAGAAAATTCAGATCCACAATTCCACTTGGAGCACAGAGGCCCAGTGTCCATGAAGGGCAAAAAAGAACCAATGCAAGTTTGGTTTCTATCCAGAAAAAATACAGGAACAGAGGTATGACTAATCAAAGTGTAATTTGCGTACTTAAGACAGAGTATAAGTATGGAAAACTAAAGCAAAATCACTGAAAATGTATTTCATTTGAAAAGAATTCTTGCTAACAGAAATTAACTTCTAAGTAAAGCAGTGGAAATAATTGAACATTAATGAGCCAATTACAATCATAAGTACTTTTTAGGGGATACTTTAGTGATTTTTGTCCTCTAATGAAATGAAAACCAACAGACTGGATTGAGAAGGCTGCTTTTTTTCTTGCTGTTGTGGTTGTTTTGCTCTTCCTCTGTAGTCTGGCTCAAAGGTAAGTGGGCTGTGAGGGGCTCCCCTGACCCCTTTCCTCAGCTCTCTAAGTTGGCTCTGAGATCACCACAGATAAGGGCTGTGGTTCATGGGAGGTTTCTTAACCATGAAGCTTAAGATCCTTTTAAGGGGCAGGCTATCTTTCTATGGAGTGATTGGGGAATTTTGGAAATCCTAGTCCCTCATGTGTTTCTCCTAGATAGATGAGTGATTTTTAACTTGCTAGAATCTGATTAATTCCTTAGGGAAGATTTAAGTTCTTTCTACTACTATGGTTATACTCCAGGCAGAGCCCATGTGCTAGAATGGACTTCAGAACAGTGGCACATCCAAAGTGGAATCACACCTCTCATAGAGGCCTTGCACACACTAAGATCATGGCTAGCCTCTTCCTAGCCTTTTGTAAGGAGTGGCATCAGAAGCAAGTTTGATACTTTGTTACCCTGTTGATGTGTTGTTTCCTCATGGGGGATAAGACTGCATGCTCATATTTCTCTTTTAGTGTGTATAAACTCTCTAAAGATGCTTTTAGGGCATAACAACTTCTAAAGGGAATAGAATGCCAGGGTTTGAAATATTTATCTTCTTTCACCTGGTTTAACATTAAATCATTTTCCTATGAGGTGGACATGCTTATTGATGTTCTTCTGATAAACTAAGCCGTAATTACCTCAAACATTGGTCATCTTAGTCGTGCGGTCCTGTTTTTCCCAGAATTATGGTGGGAATGATTTACAGAAACTGTAGATGTGAACGTGGATCACACTCTCATAAAGAGAAAAATATATTTAATTGATATTATAAACCTCACTATCACTGTAAATCAATCCCTCTTTTCTTCTGCCTATTTAAGGAAACAAAGCAGGATGATGACTGAATCTTGGATTATGGGGTGAAGAGGAGTACAGACTAGGTTCCAGTTTTCTCCTAACACGTGCCAAGCCCAGGAGCAGTTCTTCCCTATGGATACAGATTTTCTTTTGTCCTTGTCCATTACCCCAAGACTTTCTTCTAGATATATCTCTCACTATCCGTTATTCAACCTTAGCTCTGCTTTCTATTACTTTTTAGGCTTTAGTATATTATCTAAAGTTTGGCTTTTGATGTGGATGATGTGAGCTTCATGTGTCTTAAAATCTACTACAAGCATTACCTAACATGGTGATCTGCAAGTAGTAGGCACCCAATAAATATTTGTTGAATTTAGTTAAATGAAACTGAACAGTGTTTGGCCATGTGTATATTTATATCATGTTTACCAAATCTGTTTAGTGTTCCACATATATGTATATGTATATTTTAATGACTATAATGTAATAAAGTTTATATCATGTTGGTGTATATCATTATAGAAATCATTTTCTAAAGGAGTGAATTCTAAGTTTTAGGGGAAAAAATGCAATTTATTTTCAGACTCCCAAAGTAAGAATTAACATATCATGCTAAGAAAATAGTGACTATTTTGAAGTATGCTACTTCCCTTTCAGAAATATAGAATACACGTTTCTGTTATTAAAGTATTTGATTACTAATTCAAATCATATGGCAATTATAATTCTTCTAAAATGCTATCATTTGTAACTGTATCCCCTGTATTAAATCTCATTAACCACAGGCAGCTGTTACAGAAAGCTGCATTGTTTCACATTGAGCTGTTACATTAGTTCAGGCTAAATGTTGGGAGCTCCAACCACATCCAAGAATAAATCTGGAAACACACTGCTGGGATACTGCTGTTAGAGCCCTTCTTGGCCTTGTATTCCCAGAAATGAGCTCCCTTTCCTTAGCTTAGAAGAATGTGATTATATCCAGGACATCATGTTCAGAAAACTTAGTTTACTTTCAGCATAGAATGCATTACTGTTGGAATAATTGGCCTCTAGCTCTTAAATGTCTCTGATAACTTATTAATATCTATCTTTATAAAATAGAGTGCAACTACTTTTGTGTAAAAATGTTTGCCTTTAAATTTAGTATTTCATATCAGCACATCGATATATGTATAAATGTTCCATGTTAATGTGTAAAAGAGTCTGTAATAAATTATTTTTTTCACGTGTCTCTATACAGTTTTTATTTCAATAAAAATATTAACATTATTTTTCATTTTATTAATGCCATTATTTTGTAAATACATTTTACAATTTTGCCTATTTGCTACCATTATAAATTTTCACTGACTCCTCATAGACAGCATATTCTTAAATGCTATATTTCTTTTTAATACCAACAGAGTGACAGGAAATAAAGACTGGGCATGGAAAGGGGAAACAGTTAAATATTGAATGTCATCAGCTTATTTAAAGAGCTCTGAATCATTTAGGGATGATAGACATGTATACAAGTAATGAAAATATGCGATATTCATAATGAAGAAATATATTCAAATGCAGAAATAATACTTAGAGAAAGAGTAACTTGAAAGAAAAGAGGTGAAGTGGGGATAGTTGTTATGCTTATTTTGGGGGGAGAGTTAGGAATACTCAGAAACTACATTGACACTGTCATCTTCCCAGAATCCTGCATATATTTATTTAGCATCTACTTTGGGTAGGTACTGCTCAAGATATTTGAGAAATGTCATTGAACAAAACATCTCTGCCTTTGAATACCTCATATTCCAATTTTTACATCTTGCATGTTTTTAAATCTCTACTTTATTCCGCCAACACTCTTCGAAGTCCAGGCACTCATCATGTGTAACTTGAACAATTGCAAGATCTTCCCTATAAATCTGTCTATTTCCTACCTTTGCCACCTCCATTCCACACTCTCAAATTGCTGCCAGAGTGGTCTTTTACAAATCCAAATTGCTCTCCTGCGTACAATCACTTAAATGCTACTCATTGTCTGTACACCTTAGCAAAGCATGTAAACATTGTCACCTTAACCAGCCTTATCTGCTAGTTGCTACCTTTGTAATTCTATGCTCTGCTCTGTCTGAATACCCTCTACCCATACTCTGCTGCAAATTCATTTCTTGCTAAGACTCAGCTCAATATCCTCTTGTTGGAAATTTCCCTGTTAGGAAAGTTTAGCTTCCCCTATTGTCCCAGGATCTTTACAATGGTTCACATATTATCTGTTTATATATAGGATTCCTTATTAGGCTTTAAGTTTCTTATGGCTAAATTAGTTCCTCTTACACCAGATATTCCTTGAACCTTCCACAAAATAGGCACTTGACAAATATTTGTTGAACAAAGGAATGGAGGGAGCAGCCTCTTCGAGCAGTGGGGCTAGAAGCCAGATTTAAAGGGAAGGAGGAATAAGAAATGAGATAGATTGGAGAAAAGAGGAGGCACAAAAATGGCACTGTTAAACTTGTGCTTAGAGAAAATCATGCTGACATTGGTGCAGGGGCTAATTTAGAGGGAAAGAGCCTGGTTTAAGGTTGGCATTAGGGGGCTACTGTACTTCATGCATAGGCCTGCTTTAAGGTGATGGCAGGACAGGAGGCTAATTGAAGAGCAGTCAAGATTCACATTAAAAGTGCATAATAACGCACAGGCCAAAGGGGATGAGAAGGTTAGGGCCAAGTAGAAAGCTTCTGGCTTGCTTAGTGGGTAGTTGATGGTTCCATTACACGTGGTGGAGGATGTAGAAAGGTAACTGAGCTTAGAGGAAAGGTGCCTAATATTAGGCATGGCTTTGAAGTTCTGGTGAATACATTTTTAAAAAACAATGATTTTCAGGTAGCATTAATGCGAGGAGAGAATAGAACTTTTTTTTCCAAGTTGGGCCAAACTGCTTTGAATTTCCAAACAACCTGTTACTAGCTCCATGATATTGGTAAAGTCATTTAACCTTTGTGTAACCTGGTTAGGTCATTGTAAAGACAGAGATTATAATAACCACTCACTAGAGTTGTTGGCAGATCAAACTGAAATACGAAGAAGTCAGAGGAGTTGGAACTTTGGCTTGCCATTTCAGAAAGACTAAAAGGTAATCTAAGAAATGAAAACTTACAAATCTTTGGTAACAGATATTGTTATAGTTGAATCATGGACAGCACATGTCATGAAAAAACAGGAGGGTCAACAAGAAAAATCAATAAATACATTTATCTTTGCCAATTATTGAAACAAACCCAGTGGAAACCACCAAAAAATTAGAACCAAATGTTGTGAAACGATAACAGTTTATCAGTTTGAACTGAATTGTTTTAAACTTTAACAATTAAATACCATTTTAAAGGTATGTATTTTTAATTATATAAGTTATATATTTATTATATTATAGATTACATATATTATATGTATCTTAGCACTAATTCACTATTTCATTCAGTTTAAATCTGTATTTGATTCACCAAATGATATGTTCTATTTCCTTTGTCATTGAAAGGAAAAATAATTTGCTTACCTCCCTCATAGGTTTCTTTCTTTCTTTTTTTTTTTGTACCACCCTCACTAATGGTTTATAGAACCTCTAGAGGGCAGCAGAGAATGCTGTTTGTAATTGAAATCTGAAAAAGAACTGAAAGGAGACATTCTCTCACAGGACAGAGTTCATCTTGTCTCCTAGCTGTCACTTCCTGTGTGCAACCTTGAATTCACTCCTTCCACTCTTTCTCAAGTTCAAAGGAATATAATAAAAATAATTATTTCTACTCATTAAGACCATTTGTATAGCATGAAATCTATCCACACGTATCTTGCTCTGAAATGTCACCAAAATATTTCCTGCTAATTCTGCAGGAAGGTAAAAACATTTGCTAAAACAAGCAATTTGTAATAGGAACAATAGTTTTGTACAATATTTTTATGAGTAAACTAACTTGCTTGTAGCTCATGTTAAAAGTTATTAAATAGAAATAGGATACTATTTACTTATAAGGATAAAATTGGAAAAAAATTTATTTTACATTAATAGAAAATGCTTTTGTGATTCTTCCTTGCTACTTATACCGTATCAAAGAGAAGAAATATAGTGTGAGTTAACAAAACAAAATTTAACAAAAAACAAAGCACCGTACAGAGAATCAAGAACCTGAGTCCAATTCTGGTGAGGAAATCTTGTGGCCTTTACAAGTCACTTAACTTTACAACTCAGTTACCTCATCTGAAAAAAAGGAGCTGGTTAAGGTGATATCCAAACTAAATTATTGCTCCAAAATTCCATCATTTCGTTGGTAACAATTCCAGGGTTTTTGTATCAGAAGCATTCTAACCAAAGTGACTCCATCTTTACAGAGGCTGGGTAAAATGAGGCTGAGACCTGCTGGGCTGCGTTCCCAGGACGTTGGGCATTCTTAGTCACAGAATGTCTACAGTTAAGGGAATAGGTTAATAATGTTTACCAAACAGACCCAGGACTTAACAGACCCAGGAAATGTCCAGGTGTCCCAATATCTTAGGAATAAATGTATTCTTAATTTAAGAATACGTTTTGCTTTAAAGATAATAATACAGATTATTGTAGAACAGTAGTTAAGCAAATACTCAGCTGATAAAACACCATGCAGTAAAGAAGCAGGCCGAAACCCACCAAAACCAAGATGGCAGTGAAAGCCACCTCTGGTCATCTTCACTGCTCATTATATCCCAATTATAATAAATTAGCAGTTTAAAAGATGCTCCTACTAGCGCCATGGCAGTTTACAGATGCCATGGCAACATCAGAAGTTACTCTATCTGGTCTGAAAGGGGGAGTAACTCTCAGTCCTGGGAATTCTCCACTCCTTTCCTGGAAAACTCATGAATATTCCACCCCTCGTTTAGCATTTAATCAAGAAATAATCATAAGTTTACTCAGTCCAGCAGCCATGCCACTGCTCTATGGGGTAGCCATTCTTTTACTCCTTTACTTTCCTAATAAAGTTGTTTTCACTGTACTCTGTGGATTCACCTCAGATTCTTTCTTGGATGAGATCCAAGAACTCTCTCTTGTGGTCTGGATCAGTACCCTTTTCCAGTAACTCTTGTGCTAGGATTTTGGCCTGAAACTTTTGGGAATACAATCTAAAGTTTTGACAATCTAGTAGTGTTGAATAGATCAACCGAAAGACTGAAAGCTAACTTCCAAGAAATAAACAAATCTGAGGTAAACACTTGGTGAGGACTTTTGACTCCAAGCTAAAATCAAAATGACTAAGGTCCTGATTAGTGTATATGAGTATTAATGTTATGTATGTCTACTAAAAATGTGCCCTATAATATTTAATTATGTTAGCTAAATTTAAGTGTTTAATAAACAGTCACATTCTTGATGACCTGAAAACAAGGAGAGAATGTATGTCTCTATTTCAATTATATGTACTCACACAATTGCTGTGGTACAGTCTATCCCAAATAGGGCTTAAATATAGGGGCCAGTCATGGTGGCTCACGCCTGTAAACCAGCACTTTGGGAGGCCAAGGCAGGTGAATCACTTGAGGTCGGGAGTTTGAGACCAGCCTAGTCAACATGGTGAAAATGTCTCTACAGAAAATACAAAAATTAGCCGGATGTTGTGATGGGCACCTGTAATCCCAGATACTCGGGAGGCTGAGGCAGCACAATCACTTGAGCCTGGGAGGCGGAGGTTGCAGTGGGCTGAGATCACTACTGCACTCCAGCCTGGGCGTCAGAGCAAGAATCTGTCTCAAAAAAAATTACAGGTAAAAAATATCAGTGAGTATTACATATAGGTTGGGGTTTTTAAAATGTTATTCTTATGAAATATATTTCCCAATTATGTAAAGTAGTGACCACAGTTGCCTACCAAACAGTTTTAGATCATTAGGGGGAAAGGAGTCACATAAAATTAAAGTATTAACTTAGAAAACACTTTTAAACTGTTGTAAATACTGTCCCTTTTGTGGTTTTCTGCATCACATGAATAAATGTCAATATATTAATAATTTTTATATACCCATGAATATAATACCATCATATTGTTCTGGACAACAACAGTACCTAAATCTGACACTGTGACTACATACAGTTTTAGATGTACTAGTACAAATAACGTAATCAAAGATATTTTGTTTATTTTTGTGTAAAAATCATTACAGTCTAAGGCAGGCATGGGTGAAATCAGCGACTGAGTCCTCTGCTCCCGGGCAACTGGGGCTCTGAAGAGGGGGGGTCAGGGGAGTCCCCTGAGAAGTTTGTGTCCTGGAATCCAAGACAAGGTGAGGGCAGGGCCTGAAGAAAATACAAGTCTCAGGAAATATGTAGATTTCAAATTGATCTGACAAAAAACCCTAGTGGTCTGTCCAAAGAAGCCAGTAGCCAGAAGAAGCATTACAGGCAGGAAGCATTATGAAGTTAAGTGTGTCTGGTGTTGGAAGCCTTTTGCACAGTGCTAGTTTGTGTGTGCAGTGGTGATTTTGGCACCTGTTTAATAATTGTATATCCTCAATCGCAAGTATTGGACAGGATATTGAATAATGGGAGGTTGCAATTTCTTAATGTGTTAGTATAACTATTTTTTCCTCTAAAGCACAGTGTTTTTAAGTCTGTTTAGAAAACTTCCAGGCGCGGTGGCTCATGCCTGTAATCCCAGCACTTTGGGAGGCCGAGGTGGGCGGATCACGAGATCAAGAGTTTGATACCAGCCTGACCAACATGTTGAAACCCCGTCTCTACTAAAAATACAAAAATTAGCTGAGCGTGGTGTCACGTGCCTGTAATCCAAGCTACTCAGGAGGCTGAGGCAGGATAATGGCTTGAACCCAGGAGGAGGAGATTGCAGTGAGCTGGGATAGCGCTACTGCACTCCAGCTTGGGCGACAGAGCGAAACTCCATCTCAAAAAAAAAAAAAGAACACTGCAAGGGTAATGTCTAACAGCATGGTTTAATAGTAATACAATGTGAGGCCCAAATATAAGTCACATATGACATGGATTTTTAAATTTAAAAATTTCTAGTAGCCACACTTCAAAAGGTAGAAACCAGTGAAATTGACTTTAATAATATGTTTTATTTAACTCAGTATAAGCAAAATATGATCATTTCAACATGTAATACATTTAAAATCATTAATTAAATATTTAAAATCAGTGTGTATTTTAAAATCAGTGTGTATTTATACACTTTAAAATCAGTGCGTATTTATACACTTTAAAATCAGTGCGTATTTATACACTAAAATCAGTGCGTATTTCTACACTTTAAAATCAGTGTGTATTTATACACTAAAATCAGTGCGTATTTATACATTTTAAAATCAGTGTGTATTTATACACTTTAAAATCAGTGTGTATTTATACACTAAAATCAGTGTGTATTTTTACACTTTAAAATCAGTGTGTATTTATACACTAAAATCAGTGTGTATTTATACACTTTAAAATCAGTGTGTATTTATACACTAAAATCAGTGTGTATTTATACACTTTAAAATCAGTGTGTATTTATACACTTTAAAATCAGTGCATATTTATACACTAAAATCAGTGCGTATTTCTACACTTTAAAATCAGTGTGTATTTATACACTAAAATCAGTGCGTATTTATACATTTTAAAATCAGTGTGTATTTATACACTTTAAAATCAGTGTGTATTTATACACTAAAATCAGTGTGTATTTTACATTTTGCAGCACATCTAATTTCAGACCAGCCACTTTTCAAGTGCTCAGTGGTCTCATGAAGCTAGTGGCTATCATATTGAACAGTGCAGGTCTACATATACAGGTTATTGATTGGATCTTTTATCCAAAACAATCATCTTAGATACTTGATTGTTTTGTTTCCTCCTTACCAGAAGATTGGATCAACCTTGTTATTTATAAAAACAAAACAAGTAGCTGAGTAGTTGAAGGGGTCATTAAATTAAGAAAAAAGAGTATAGGAAGGTTTATACTTTTTATTCTGATTTATAAGATGTAGTTTTGAATAGAGTGTTTCTTTTGAACTCTAACATTCTATATACTACAACATAATATAAATGGTGATAAAAAGAGTAATAAAGGAAAATGAGTTCTATATGAGGTATTTCTCAAACAACATTTGCAGAAAAGAAAGTGTACTATTTTATAAGTTGCTAACATTAGCAACTTCATGATTTGAGATGATAAAGGATCTTACATGTTCACCTGACAATTCTTTTGCAGTCTTTTAATAAGAAGCAATTATAAAGCACTAAGAAGCACCTATTATCTTTTGACAAAGTTAAGGCTCTTTATAAAGATCTAGTTCATCAGTCAGTTACCACCCACATCATATTTCTTTTTTTCATTTGTATTCCTGTTAAAGGTTCTTTCCCTGTCAACCCAACTTACTCTTTTTGCACTTGACAGTAATATTACCAAAGTATTAACTGAAAGAGAATTATGCAAAAGTTGACTACCAAAAGATTTGTACCCTTGAATACACAGGAACAATTTTCACTTGATTTGTGCTCAGTAAAGTGTATCAGAAAGTTCAGAACCCTTCAGACCTCAGGAGGAGCAAATGTTCCTGTCACACTGACCATATGTCTTTTTGTGAATTTACCAAAAGTTCTTCCTGATTCATGAATGTTTGAAATTCAAAACTCATTGTATACAGCTTGTTGGATTTCTTGACATGTAAAGCACTTTTAAAAAGAGTTCTTTTAAAGATAGTGTTAATACTATAATAAAAGTTATAAAATTTGCTTTTAAAATATATATTTCTTTAAATATTGTGCTGTATTATAACTGACCATCAAACAACAGACATGAGAGTTGAGATAAGTGGTGACCAGATCCCTGCTGCCCTCAGGCTCACAACTACCAGCATGGAAATCAGGGAGCAATCCTGCAGTCACTGCAAGTTCAATGGTGATTTGAACGTTTTACATGTTTAATCCTTGCAGCAATTTATTAAGTATATACTCTTATTATCGACTCCATTTTACTCATGAGGAAACTGGAGCACATAAAGTTTGGGGAACTGCCCAAATGTTAAACAGAGAGTGAGTGGGTAAAGCCAGTATCCATACCCAGACAAATGGATTCCAGAGCCCAAGCTTCCAACTAGGATGCTCGGATGCATCTCATAGCAAAATAAGCAAGCGGCTGGCAAGTGGCGTACATCTGGTGGGCGTTTTAACACCAGATGAGTGTGTGTCAGGTAACAAAGTTCTAGTCAGGCAAGCAGGCAAGGAGTGTGAAGAAGATATGGCAGGTGGTATTGGCCCTAAACTTTACGACTAACTCTGAACAACAGGATGTGGAAGGCTGGGGCACAAGAAGTGGGGGCTGAGGCAGGGAAGGCAAACATGTTCCCCTAAAGATGGATCACAAGACAGCGATTATAAAGGCTAGACCGGGAGAACCTATATGTTGTGCAGGAGGAAAAACAGCCTGATGCTAATTCGCCCCTCTGTGTATAAAAGGCTTACGTTCTTCTGCCTGATACCCAGATTGGTTCTAGAGTTTTCAGATTTGGGGACTGATGAACTCCAACAGCAAACCCTGATGAGCTGTACAAGTAGGGAAAGCATGTCCTTGACTGTATCCTCCCATTAAGGCATCTGCTAAGAGAGCAGTCTTGCTGGATGTGGAAGGAATCCTCCATAAAGGTAGTCAGCCTTAGTCTTCCTCACTCTGCCACCATGACTAGCATTTCAATCTTATTTGTATGGGCTTCTGACAAAGGAAATTTGGGGCAGGGAGGGGGCTCTTTCTAAGGCTTATAACAGGTTCTTCCAGAAATATAGAAGAAATTTTTCAGCTTTCCCAATCTCAGTTAGGTCTGTGCTTCCATAGCATCTGAGTAAAAGACCATTGCTATTCTTCTATCCGTTACAATTTTAATGATTTACTGTCTTCTGGTCAAATAGACTGTGGGAGAAATTAGGTCAGACACTGCACATCCACTCATTGGCTCCAGTAGCCAGTTCCAGAGCCTTGTCACAGAGTAGGGGTTCAGAATTGTCAGGTATCCTTCCTCCAAATACTGGAGAAGAGTTGGTGAAGAAGAATGTCGTTTGTACAACTTGTAAAGTATCTGTGTTTTCCACTTGATGGTCTGTTTTGTGCATTGGCTGTAGATTTATTTACTGGAACGGCCTTCTCATCATATACATGTGCACATCCATGACTGATGCCATGCTGTAGTTTTTAACAAAGCATTGTTGAACATTTGAAGGATAATATCAGAAGGGAATAGCTGCGCAGAATATAAAACACTCAAGATTAAAAATTCTTCTGCCTGCAATCCCAGCACTTTGGGAGGCTGAGGTGGGCAGATCACAAGGTCAAAAAATGGAGACCATCCTGGCCAAATGGTGAAACCCCATCTCTACTAAAAACACAAAAATTAGCTGGGCATGGTGGCTGGTGCCTGTAGTCCCAGCTACTTGAGAGGCTGAGGTAGGAGAATCACTTGAACCCGGGAGGCAGAGGTTGCAGTGAGCTGAGATCGCGCCTCTACACTCCAGCCTGGCAACAGAGTGCAGTCTCAAAAAAAAAAAAAAAATGCTTCTTCTCAAGTTTCTAAATTCCCGTGGCTATATTCAATCACATGGCGTCCCAGTGCCAGCCAAAGGACACCTCAGCGAGGAATCTTTCTGTCTTCACTCTTCACCAAGTCCCAGTGCCTCTAAATCTCTCTTGGCCTACCTAAAGTTATCGTCCGTTTTCTTGCATTATTGATGTCTAGAACTTATCACAATTTATTATGAAGTTAAGGGAATAATTTTTAAATTGTTAGCAATTATCCTTACCACCAGATAATAAAACATTGTTGATATATATGAAGACATCCCAGCATTCAGGCATAATGTATGCACTTTCTTCTAAATGGTGCCGTAAAAGAGAACGTCATTTGCAGATATTTGCCATAAGCAACAACCACTCTAAGTGAAGAGAAAAAGTACCTTGCCCCCTCTGGTTTTCACTTAGTAATTTAGGAATTACACGTTATTTATATGGGATTGTATATGTTTATCCACATTTTAATGACTAGATTTAAATTGATTTTAAATTACTATCAATATATTATGATAATCATTAAAACATCATTACATCATTAAACAATCATTTAGAAAGTTTTGCTCCTTTTAAAACTAATGCATGAATTAAGCTGAATAACAACAAAAAAGTATCAATATTTTACCATCACTAACACCATTGAATAATACTGTTTTCATGACCACAAAGTACCGTTTTGCCAAGCATAAGTTATTTAGGCTGCCAAATTATACTGAAAACAAATATCAAATGTCACCAAAATATAAAATCTTCATCCATTTTTCTATATCAGATTGCAAGAGAAGAAAGAACCTGATTTGCTCAGTGATTCATATGAATCTGATTTGAATTAATAATGTAAAATTATTAATGACAGTATTGGATTATATCCCATATAATTAAGAAAACTTCCTGAATTCATATTTATGTAAGTAAATGACTTAAATAATAAATAAATGAGGGATAAAGGTCAATTCTTCCTTACAGAATGATTTCAATAAAAATAATTATGAACAGATCAGTACTTGGGGCAAGGGAAGGAGAGAATTTGGAGAGTTGGAGTAATGGATCTAACGTGGAGTGAAATTAATCAACAGGTTAAACTATTCTATATCTTTGTGAAATTCCCTTTACCATAAAAAGTGGTTCGTGTATTTAAAAATGGTTCTCTGTTACACCATCCTTAGTATAATAGAAAAGGTTTTTTTTCTCAATGTATTCTCAGGGAATAACCCCATGCTTTTGGTTACAGTATTTTCCCCAGTTTATTTTTTTTTTTGTAAAAGATTACACAATATCAAGTCCTTTTTTCGCTCAATATCATAGTTAAGCATTTTTCCACATAGAGTGAGTATTTAATGTTCACATAAAATTTCATCCCGTAGCTGGACCATGATTTTCTCAACCATTTTAGCATAGCCAGACATTGACACTCAGAAGCTGAGGATGGATTGAGTAGTGAGGTACAGCCCAGTTTTCTTGTGCATTTCAGTTGCCTACATGGTACAGCCCTAATACACTGAAGCAAGACCTACTTGTTCATTCAGCACATATTAATTGAGCTCCCACAACATGCCAGACTCTCGTCTAAGAGCATAGGTTAGATTGATGGAAAATAAACAGAGCTCCTTGCCCTCAGAGGGCTTACCTTCTAGCAGAGGGGGACAGAAAATACACCATAAATATATTAGGTTGGGTCAAAAGTAATTGTGTTTTTGCCATTAAAAATAATTTGCACCAACCTAATAATATAACCATAAATTAAATGATAGAGGACGATGTATTCTATGGGGAAAAAATTAAGCACAGAGGAAAGGAGATCAGGAGTGCAAGGATGGGGTGGGGCTACTTGCAATTTGGAAATTGAGAGTTGGGGCTGGCCTCAATGAAGGGCAAAGATGATGAGTGAGCAAACACTGGAATGCTGTGTGGTAGGTATTGCAACTATTTGAAAGAAAAGCAGCTCAGGGAGAGACTGCCAGTATTTGGGCTCATGACAGGTTCAAGTTACTTATGTTCCAGAAACCAAAAGGAGAGTGTACCAGGAGCAATCAAGCCTTTTAGTACCTATGAGTTTAATTATAAGAAAGAAAATGTATGTCCCAGGGAAGTTGAGACAGTTCATAATTATCCGTCAATCCAATGTAATAAGGAGATATTTGAAATATCCTGCATGCATTGTTATTCTCACTCATGAAACCTTTTTATGCCTTTGGCAGTTGTCTGCTCCCTGCTTCCTGGTAATGGTTTTTGATGACTATGTATTATTTCATCATATAGCTTATCCACAAGTTTTTCACAACTCTTCTTTTGTTGGATATTTGGATTAATTCCAATTTTCAATTATTATAAGCAATGCTACAGTGATATCCTTGCTTATATAAATTATTTTTAAAGAATATAAAAATAATAACCGGCCAGATGTGATGACTCATGCCTGTAATCCCAGCAATTTGGAAGGCTGGGGCACAGGGTCCCTTGAGCCCAGAAGTTCAAGGCTGCAGTGAGCTATGATCACACCACTGCACTCCAGCCTGGCTGACAGAAAGAGACTCTGTCTCTAAATAAAACCAAAAACTCTATTTGCAGTTGACTAGTTGACAATACAGGAAAATGGACATACTCCTAAACTACTACTTTGTATTTAACTGTGTGAAGGGTAATTTGGAAATACATAAAAAACACATTAAATGTTATCAAGAAATTCTTGAAATTTATTCTCTGAAAATAATATGAAATGGGCAGAACATTTTGTGATTAAGAATGTTCATTGAATTATGATTTGTAATAATTAAAAATGAAAACAAATTTAACTTATAAAAAACTTAATGATATATCTATATATTGAATTATATGGAAAAAATCTCATAGGTAGTACATTGTATATACAATATTGTATACACATTGTATATTATGATTTTATGGCATATTTGTATTTTTTGGTGTCTGGTGGTGGGATGTTTGCTTTTATAAACACTTTGAAACACATGTGTAATAAAGATATAAGTGTTCTGTTAATGTACACAGTATTTTTTGTTCTTTTATTTCCATTTCTTTTGCAATATTTATTGTGGTTGAGCATTTACTAATGAAATGGTGTTCTGAGGGGATTTTTCTTCTTTGTTTTGTGGACTTTTTGACCACCTCTGACCAAATAGAGTCATATATTCTGTGTATTAGAGGTATTTGTGCATGTAGTTCTTTGTCCCCAGCATGCCTAGATCACCAAGCTTGATTTTTTTCTACACTTGTCTATATCATACCTATAAGACCATGCCTGATACAACCGTGTGTCGTTCCCTTCTCTAAATCATGTTAATAATGAGTGCTTATAGACACCTTTAAGAGAATCATTCACAAGACAACAATCATGCAATTTCCAATGTAGCAGCAGCCACTTGGTTTTCTTCCTTCCTTCTTCTCTTTCTCTCTCTTTCTCTCTCTCTCTTTCTCTTGTTTGTTGTTGTTGTTATCCTTCCCTTGTTTGCTGTATATTTTCATATCTCTATGTTATTTTAATATAAATTTTGTGGTTTAAAATAGCATATTCATCTGGGTGCTGCTTCTGTTCTGTATAGCCTTGGCTAGAGTCACTCATTCAGCTATATTTAGCTGGCAACTGTCCAAGAAGACTTTAGCCGTTTTTTACGTATCTCAATATTCCTCCACAGGACCTTTTCAACAGTATGTGACCTAAACATGGCAGCTGGATCCAAGTAGTTCAAAGGGACAAGCCCCTAAATGCAAGCTCTTAATAAGCCTCTACATAACATTTGACCCATTTGGTCAAAATGAAACACAACGCCAAGCCCAATGTGGAAGAAGATTACCAAAGCGTATGAATACTGGGAGGTATGGGGGTCATCAATATAACAGTCTACAAAGTAATATTTTTTACTAATGGATCCCAGAATGTGCCCAACTCCCAATGTTGTGATGTATGTGTCTCTTCATGTTTTTATGTGAGAATTCCTGCTAGAGAAATTTTATATACATACATACGTGGTACACACACTCACACACACTCATACCCACATGCACACATTCTCCGAGAGTAAAATTGCTGGGTCCTAATTATGTGTATATTTAATTTGCCTTAAGTACTGTCGCAATGATCTCCAGAATTGCTGTACCTGTGGTCATTACCATCACTAGTGCATGAGAATTCTCATATTCCTATATTCCTTGCCAACATTTGGCACTATACTGCCTACTTTCCTTTCTGGCCGTAACTGCAATCTGACCACCTCATTTAAGAAACTGCAGTAGCTCTTTCTTAATTTGTGGTAGGGTGAAGATCTTGGATAAGAATTCAAAAATCCCCATAATCTATTCATTCTCTTTTGATCCAAAAGGACTTCTGATTACTCAATTTTATTCCCCTTCCAATTCTTCTAAGCTAATCTTCTTGCTGTTTTGCAAACACACTATGTAAATGCAAATTTGCTGCTGCTGGCATTTGCTTTCAAGCTTCCTTCTCTTTATTTACCCAAGTTCTAACAATCCAGTCTGCAGGATTCAACTGTTTTGAGAAACTCAAAAACTTTAGTAATTATTTCTCTTTATCTTCTCTGAACTAATTTTTACAATAAACAGTCTGAAAATAAATCATGTATTGTTTTTCTTTTTCTTTTCTTTCTTCTTTGTAAAAAAAAAATTAATGTGAGGGCTTGTTTCCCAACTAGAATTCAAGAGAAAGAAACAAGGATATAGTACATTTCTGTTGCAAGCAATTACCCTTTGAGTAAAGGGCATAGCAGGACAAGGGACATAACCTGAAGGTGACTTTGACTTGTCCTTAATGACAGAGAGAGCAGGTAGCCAAGGATCCCCCAGAGAAACCCTGCCTTCAAGCCTAAAACAGCCTGAAGGCTGAAAAACCAGACTGCAGGGTCGGGCATGAGGCCCGTCCTTTTCCAACTGATTCTTTCTGATTAATGCCCACCTAAGCACTAGGAGGACAGAGTGGAGCCTCAGGACATTTGAGCGCCCTTTGCAGAGGGGAGGAGACTGTCTTCTCTTATTCCTGGGTAGTGACTGGGATTCAATCTGTGAGATGGGGGCCTATTAATGGGAACCCTTCACGCTTTGCTGAGAGTGTTTTCTCCTTTCCCCCCAATAAATTTTGTTCCCCCCTCATCCTTCAAAGTGTCTGTGTGTCTAACTTTTCATGGTCATGTGACAAGGACTCGGTTTTTTTCTACAACATTAATAATGGCAGAAACTCTGCCAGTGATTTAGAAAAATATATTAATTTATTCAAGACATCTTAGTGGTAACTGACAGAAACCTGTATAACTGAATTGTATGCTGTGGTTTGTTAGCCTATGAATTTCTAAATGTCATTTAAAATTGACATTTGAATCCTTCGAGTTATTTTTTAAAATTAACTTACAGTCTTCTTTCTGCAGGCATTTAATTAGTGCACATGTGTACGATCTGATGAAATAATGGATTGGCATAAAAGTTGCCGGACACTATTATAGGAATAATTACTGGACCAGTTATGGAAATTGTTGGGCACTTTGGTAGTGTTTAATGTTTTTTCTTATTTGTTCCCTACTCCTACTTCCAACTCTGGTAAAATTTATCTCAGTTGATTCTAGTGAAAATTTGAGATACAAATCCCTTCTCATCTGACTTCTCTTCCTCCCATTTCTCATCCTTAACTCTGATTTTGGATATAGGCATTCCATTGAGACCCTTTAAATTCTTGCTAAGTCTTGAGACTTCGAAGGAAACTTCCTATCACCTTAAATCTAAAGGTAATGTCTTACATGCCAACACTCACTCTGCCTTCAGATGAAGGCAGTGAAGCTCTACTAGGCTTTCAGAATGTTAGTAATGGAATGACTCAGTAAGATAAGCAACAAAGTAAATACAACAGTCCTTACATTAGG
Organism: Homo sapiens; assembly: GCF_000001405.40. Classification (NCBI taxonomy): domain Eukaryota; kingdom Metazoa; phylum Chordata; class Mammalia; order Primates; family Hominidae; genus Homo; species Homo sapiens. Next base: position 155,822,804 of record NC_000004.12, read on the forward strand.
CATCTTTTCTAAAGCTGGCCATTTATTTCTTGCTGACTACATACATTTATTTGTTTTCTGAATGATTTCAAATATTTGTTCTTTGTTCACGATAAAAAAAATTGCATAAACCTCTGAGGATCGCTATTTATAGAAAAATAGTTAAAATACAATTCATTCACCAACACTTATCTGAAATCTATTCTTATTTAGAATACTCTTTCCCTAGTAACTATGACATTTACTGCGATTATCTTTTCACACCACAACAAAACAACCTAAGAAGCTGGTCAATATCTATATTAGGTAGATTGGCCAATACCTACCTGAAAGTCATACAATATACCCTCCATCATGTTACAGGTGATAAAATATAAGTGTGACTGTTCATTCACCCTGTTGACTCTTTTGGCATCACAATTTCTGTAGCAGGTTTGCTATCTTCTGAATCCAATCAAAATTACACAGATACCCAGTCATCTTTCAGCTGCAGCTTCTTCCTACTTTTCCATGATTTCCTGTTCTCTAGGACATCTCAAATTCCATCTGCCCTTCAATGCCTACTGAGCTCTTACAGCAAAAAATCAATGCTCACAAATTAGTTTGGAAAAATCTTTATCACAAGATAATGGGGGATTTCTGAATTTTTATGTGCTACTATTGATTGTATAAATTGGTACAGTTATGTCAGGGAGCAATTTGACAATATGTAGTCAAGATAAAGATGCATATACCACAACATTTTATCAATTTCACTTCCAGGTACATACCAAAAAGTAATGTATACAGAATTTCACTGCAGTATTTTTGCTATAAGTGGAAATTTGGAACTATGTAAATATGCATTTGTAGGGGAAAATCAATCCATCAACCATAATATATGTATGGATGTAATTTTGTGCAACAGTTTAATAAACCACATCTTTATTTGTTAACATGAACACACTTTAAACAGGTAAAATTGAAAAGTAGTTTTCAGACTAATGTACATAGCATGATTTCATATAAATAAAATAGGATGGAAATATGCCAAAATATAATGTTGGTTAAATCTGAGTTGTGTTAACCATGTCCAAAAATTTCATAGGTTTTTTTGTGATAATTCTTTACCACTTAAACTACTTATTTCCTTCCTTATCCATTATTTGCCTGCCTTTGAGTAGGTTTTGCTAGGGATATTTAACTGCAGGTACAACTTTTCCAAACTTAATTTTGTTTTTTCCTTGGCATTCAATCTCCATGGATATGACATCAACAAGATTTTCAGGTACTTCCTTCCACAAACACATCTTCATTCTAGGATTATTGTCTACTCCTTTCATTTATATTTAAGTCTATAAGTAAAGTCATAAATCTTTTATTATAACATATAACTTCAGTGGAGAGATTAAATTTTTATTTTATATACCATACCTCAGTTGATTTGTTAACATGAACATGTTATTTCTCAAACCTTCCGGCACAGATTTTCTATATAACATGCATTTCCTGCTACTATGGTAGTTACCAGAGGCTTATGAAACTTCAGGTTCCATCTGCAATAGGGGGAGCATAACCATAACTCAGCCTTCAAGAAATAAATTTTTTCAACAACATAAGATTTCAGGTGTGTTAGTCCGTTTTCACGCTGCTGATAAAGACATAGCCAAGACTGTGAAGAAAAAGAGATTTAACTGGACTTACAGTTTCACATGGCTGGGGAGGGCTCAGAATCATGGTGGGAGGCAAAAGACACTTCATACATACTGTCAGCAAGAAAAAAAATGAGGGAGATGCAAAAGCAAAAAGCCCTGATAAAACCATCAGATCTCATGAGACTTATTCACTATCATGAGAACAGTATGGGGGAAACGGCCCCCATGATTCAAATTATCTCCCACAACACATGGGAATTATGGGAGTACAATTCAAGATGAGATATGGGTGGGACACAGAGACAAACCATATTACTAGGTATCATTACGAAGCACTGACCATCTATTTCCCAACCAATTGAATGTACAATGGGAAAATTCCTTGTTCATTCGCAGCACTCTGGCCAGGAAATAGCAATGTTACATGAGTGTTCTTACCAGAGAATCATTGACATTGGCTTAGTCCGTACATAATAGTCCTACAAATGTACTCCTCTAGCCTGAATCTCTATCATCTTGAGCCACTGCCTCCCAACTTTTAAATACACTTTTTTTTTTTTTTTGAGACAGAGTCTCGCTCTGTTGCCCAGGCTGGAAGGCAGGGGTGCGATCTCAGCTCACTGCAACCTCCACCTCCCAGGTTTAAACAATTCTCCTGCCTCAGCCTCCCGAGTAGCTGAAATTGCAGCTACTGGCTAATTTGCACCCCTGGCTAATTTTTTGTATTTTTAGTAGAGATGGGGTTTCACCATGTTAGTGAGGCTAGTCTCGATCTCCTGACCTCAGGTGATCCACCTGCCTCGGCCTCCCAAAGTACTGGGATTACAGGCGTGAGCCACCCTGCCCAGACTAAATACACTTTTAAAAGCAGTTTTAGGTTTACACACACACACACACACACACACACACACACACACACACAAAACTGAGTGAAAAATACAGAGCTCCCATATACCCCCTTAACCTACCACCCCCAGTTTCCCCTATTATTAACATCTTGTATGATTGTGGTACTTTTGTTGCAATCGATGAGCCAATATTGATGCCTTATTACTAACTAAAGTCCATAGTTTATGTTAGGATTCACTCTTTGTGTTGTACATTCTATGGGTTTTGACAAATGCATAATTACATGTGTCTAACATTACAGTATCATACAGACTAGTTTCACTGCCCTAAAAATCCCGTGTGCTCCATCTATTCATTTTTCCCTCCTTCCCTCAAGCTCCTGTCAATCACTGATATTTCAAAATTCTTTATGGTTTCAATAGTTTTGTCTTCCCTGGCATGCTATATCGGTGGAATCCTATGGTATGTAGCCTTTTCACATTGGTATCTTTCACTTAGCAATATGCCTTTAATGTTCTTTCATGTCTTTTCATGGCTTGATAGCTCATTTATTTTTATGTTGCTGCTCTATTATTGCAATCAAGATCTTATCAAATCCTTCCTGACTGAGGATATGTGCTCTTTCCAAGGATGTTTGGGAAGGGGATGCTCCATTAGTGTAGAAACATCTATTGTCCCTTGTATCTCTACATTATCTTTTCAGGCAGCTTCCAGTAATGCCAGGTCCCCTGGGTCCTTTATGAATATTCTGTGGGTGAATCGCCAGTGATAAATGGATATACAGAAGTATGAATATGATCAACATAACTTGAGGGAAAAAAAACCCAAATTGTGATTCCAACCTGCTCTTCTTTTAGGCAGGTCATCAAGGGATACTGATTGATACACTTTCTTTGAATAACTCAAACAGAGTTGTTGGGTTAACTTCAGAGTTTGCCTTCAGGTCACTTCTCCACTTTTGGGGAAAAGCAAATCCAGGGGTTATCTCAGCATGGATCCTGACCCATACCCCACCTTGAGAGAATTAAGAGTCTTAACTATCTTTCTCTGAGGCTCTCTCTCAGGAAAAGAATAATAGCATCCTTTCCCATTTGTCATTGAGGTGCTCTCTTCCCATCTCTCACAGTTTCTCCCTTTCCATTTTCACCTGTCTCATCTCAGACTTGTCCTCTTCAGGTGAGATTTTTCTCATTCAGTCATTCTACCATCTACAGGCAAGTAGCAGAAACAGCCTTCCTTGAACATCCCCTTTTGTCCATTTTCAAGAAGGAGTACTGTTAGAAAGGTAAAGATTACTGGACTATTCCTACCAGAGGCACTGGGCCAGCATTTCCAGCCAGTCCTCCATTAGCCACATGATGTGGAGTCCTCACTCGATCTATCTGTTCCCTTGGTAATATTTATACTTTCTGAAGAATCAGCATAATGTTTGCATGGTGATTCTTCCCAGGATGCAGGGCACACAAGTGCAATCCCAGAGCTGGTACAACTCTATGAAGTAAAATAAGAAAAATGTTTTTGAGGCGAGAAAGTCAGAGAGTATCCTTGGACCTTCATCCTCATCCCCATATCCCAGAAACTGTTTCAAAGGTGTTCCTGCTCCACTATCCCTCATATTCAGATAAGGTATTTACTCAGGAGTCAGCTCAGCTCTTCATGCCTCTAGCACATTCTTCCCATATTTTAGTAAAGGTGTTTTCATTCCACTTTGAAGGTGGTAGGGGATATAATAACAAACAATGTTAAGCTTCTTACCTCATGTAGGTACATACTAATAGCAGTGGCATGTCACCTTGTAAATAAAATGTAGTTGGTGGGAACCAAACTGATCGACAATCTGTTTTTCCAAACCTTTAAGGAGGCTTAAATTTAATAATCTCCATTCTCAGCTAGTTAGCTCTTCCATGACATCAACCCCATTTTATCTCTTTCAAAATACAGTTGCCCTTTGAACAACATGGGTTTGAACCGCACTACATGGCTTTTCTTCCACCTCTGCCACCCCTGAGATGGCAAGACGAACCCTTGCCCTGTCTCCTCCTCCTCAGCCTACTCAACATGAAGAAGACAGGATGGAGGGCTTCATAATGATCCACTTCCACTTAATGAGTAGTAAACGTGTTTTCTTTTCTTCATGATTGTCTTAATAACATTTTCTTTTCTCTAGCTAACTTTATTTTAAGAATACAGTGTATAGGCTGGGCACGGTGGCTCATGCCTGTAATCCCAGCACTTTGGGAGGCTGAGGCGGGAGGATCACGAGGTCAGGAGATCAAGACCATCCTGGCTAACACGATGAAACCTCATCTCTACTAAATTAGCCGTGTGTGGTGGTGGGCGCCTGTAACCCAGCTACTCGGGAGGCTGAGGCAGGAGAATGGTGTGAACTCAGGAGGCAGAGTTTGCAGTGAGCCGAGATCCCACCACTGCACTCCAGCCTGGGCAAAAGAGTGAGACTCTGTCTCAAAAAAAAAAAAAAAAAAAAAAAAAAAAAAAAGAATACAGTGTGTAATACATATAACATATAAAATATGTGTTAATTGACTGTTGGTGTTATTGGTAAGGCTTCCGGTCAACAGTAGGCTACTAGTAGTTAACTTTTGGATGAGTCCGTAATGATATGTGGACTTTGCACTGAACAGGGGCTTGGTGCTCCCAACCCTTGTATTGTTCAAGGGTCAACTGCATATGTATTTGTCGTTTTCTTATCCCAGGAATATTGGAAGATAAATTCATGAGCCATATGTGATACTTAATATTTCTTAAAATACAGACTTCCTCAAGTTCAAAAAATAGGAGCGTTTTCTCAATTATATTCTGCTACTTGACCCATTTTATGTTAGACACAACAAAATTTGTGGAGTCTTTCTATGAATCATTCAAAATACAAATTGTTTCAAGATTTTTCAATATATTGAAAAAAAGGGGTAAGAATGGTATCTTCTAGCTGAGTTTATTAAGGGGTGTCCAACCTTTTGGCTTCCCTGGGCATCACTGAAAGAAGAATTTTCTTGGGCCACACATAAAATACACTAACACTAATGATAGCTAATGAGATGGAAAAAAAAAACATCCATACATCATTTTCATAATCTCCGCCACTACAGATAAGCAAAAAAGTTATTTCATTCAAAGGGTTACACATGGCTATAATTAGAATCAATATTTGGATAAGTAGGCCGGGCCTGGAGGCTCACGCCTATAATCCCAGCATTTGGGGAGGCTGAGGTGGGTGAATCACTTGAGGTCAGGAGTTCGAGACCAGCCTAGCCAATGTGGTGAAACCCCATCTCTACTACAAATACAAAAATTAGCCAGGTGTGGTGGCAGGTATCTGTAATCCCAGCTACTTGGGAGGCTGAGGTAGGAGAATCGTTTGAACCCTGGAGGCAGAGGTTGCAGCGTAGGTTGCAGTGGCTGAGATCACACCACTACACTCTAGCCTGGGCGAAAGAGCAAGACTCCATCTCAAAAAAGAAAAGATAAATAGAGGAATTGCAATAAAGTCAGAAGCTGCATGCCACATCTATGGGAGAATTTCTCCAGAGTATTTACCCAAGATTGAGATTTCTGAGTCATGAGATATTTGTATTCCTAATGTCAGTACCATGAAATTGCACTGGCCTCATTCCCACAGAACTAGCACTTGCTTATCATTAAGCTGGAAAACAATATCAAGACTTTTAGGAGTTATTCTCTTACATCTGGGAGAAATTGCAATACCACCAAGAATAAATTAGGGGATAGATTCTTTGACTTGATTATTATTTCTTAAATATGTTTGAGAAATCTTCTAAAAGTCACCTTTAATTGAATATTCTGAGACACCGAAAGTACATCTATTACCCGAGTGGGAGAGAGAACACTGAAACTCCTGAGTTTCCTCTCTGGACTAAATATGTAAATAGAAGTACTTGGGAAAAAAATGAGAAAATGCCATGTATTTTCAAGATAGTACAGATTTAACTTTATTTTCATTTAGATTGATGTTAAGTACCACCTGTATGGGAAACAGATTTCTGTCCCTCCGAAAGTCATTTACAATAGAACACTCCAGATAAAAGGGAAAAAAAAGTATGTTGAATCTTAATGAAAATAAAAATTCTTTAAAACTTTATAAAGCATAAATTATACATATCATTTCTTGAATAAAGAAATATTTTGTTTCCTCATGTATAGTTTATTTATTGGGTCTAGTTTACATATTTAGTCATAAAAAATGTCTCTTTTCCACTACACCAATATTCATTCATTGAGAAACATTTATGAGATGTCTATTACATAATCTTGACTGTTCTAGGTGGAGGGAACACAAAGGTGAAAAAGATAATTCCTATTTCTTTATTTCATATATATATATATATATATATACACATATATATACACATATATATATACATACACATATATATATACACATATATATACACACAGACAAAGACAAATAGAAAGAAATATATATGAAGAGATACATATCTTTAATGGCTTTTATCGAACTCTCAAAACTATAGAAAAGTGACGTAACAATGAATTAGTCAAGATAAATCTGAAGGTATCATGAAAAGGAAACTATTTTATTCTAAGTGACCATTAACACTCCTCTATCCTATTTTTATTTCCCAGATGATTCTGAGGTGGAGGAGTCCACTGGGTCATTTCAGATATCTTCAGCAAAAAGAAAATGCATATCCAGTAGAAATTGGTGAATAGATATTCAATAATTTCTATGATCGTGATCAGACTGGCCCCACAAAATAGACCCAGCTGACCACCAAGATCTGCTGTAATAAAACCAATAAAGATTGAATGTCATTATTTTTCATAAAAAACAAATATTATTAGAAGTTAAATTAGTTGAAGCAAAATAGAGTCATAACTGAGATGAAGATTGGTTAATTTTATTATTTTAACATTTGATATGAATAAGGTAATAGCAATTGGTAATATCAAAGTGGTATTCATACAAATCATCATAAAAAGCAGAGAAGAAAAGCAAACATAAAATCTGATTCCAAACATATAACTCTAAGACTCTGGAGGATATAAAATCTCGGTAAATTCATTAGAGATTCTAGATAATTACAAACTCATTTCTAGGTGTTAAATGAAGAGCAGAAGAGTGCCATCCAGAAGGCACTACTGGATGATGATGTTTTCCAGAAAATTAATTTCCAAGCAAGTTGTGACATCAAGTGTCAAAACTGTATTTCTTTTTATGCATTCATAATATTTCCTTTAACCAAAAATTAACATAACATTGCCTTTTTGATATTTTAAAATTTGTACTTATATTTACTGTTTGTGCTTTTTTATTGTGGTAAAATATATATACCCTAAAATTTACCATGTTAACCATTTTTAAGTATACAGTACTGTGGCATTAAGTACGTTCACATTGTTTTGCAGCCATTCCATAATCTTTATCTATTTGCAGGATGTTTTCATCTTCCCTAACTGAAACTCTGTACGCATTAAACTCTAACTCCTCATCCTTCCTCTCCTCGGCCCATGACAACCACTCTTTTACTTTCTGTCTCTGAATCTGATTACTCCAGCAGTGCTTTCATAAACAGATTACATTATTAATCATTATCTCATTGCCCTAGGCCATTCTTAGGACCATTCCGTTTTTGTAAAGTGTGATAATGAAGTATAGGCTTCTCCAAGAGCTTTGGCAAATTTACATATTTCCTCCATATTCAGGGTCTCAGCTGTGATGTCTGACTGCTATCACTTTTGCCTGAGTCTAAGGCCTTCTTCTGTCTCCGACACAGCTTCCTCTAAGATGCGGTGAGATCTAGGAAATTAGCCATTATGTTTATTAGGGACTGTGGAGAAGGCAAGTGAGCAGGCAGTGGTTGCCTAATTTTGCTTCCTCAGGTTCTTCTTTTTAAGCCACTCTAGGGTAGAGCCCTGTGTGGAGGTATGAGGTGGCTGACATTTACCCAGGTGTAGCATTGCTGAAACATTCTACAAAGTCACTTGATGAGGGATCTAATGGTAAAGTTTGATGTGAGTGTGAGTAGGAGATGAAACACCACCAGCCTTTTCTTTATAAAAGTCCATGTGAGGTTGTACAGTGTTTTCTAGGGAGTGGAAATATGTCAGATTTAAATAGCAGCTGAATGACAAGTTCAATTGATTCTTGTCCTCCACTGGTAAGCTAAACCTTAAATATCAAAGAAAAAAAACTGATAAAAATTTTTAAATATAAGGAGCAATTAGGCCGGGCATGGTGGCTCATGCCTGTAATCCCAGCACCTCAGGAGGCCAATGTGGGCGGATCACGGGGTCAGGAGATCGAGACCATCCTGGCCAACACGGTGAAACCCCGTCTCTACTAAAAATACAAAAAATTAGCCAGGCGTGGTGGCGGGTGCCTGTAGTCCCAGCTACTTGGGAGGCTGAGGCAGGAGAATGGTGTGAACCCCCTGGGAAGCGGAGCTTGCAGTAAGCCAAGATGGCGCCACTGCACTCCAGCCTGGGCTACAGAGCGAGATTCTGTCTCAAAATAAATAAGTAAATAAATAAAATAAGGAGCAATTAAATAACACTTACCAAGTAACTCAGACACACTCACCGCCTTTTGCTGCTGGGTTATCTTATAGTTTAGGTCACTATAGTTAATTTCAATTTTTACAAGATTCTCCCTAGGGATAAAAAAGAGAGTTAATATAGCTTAAGATTGTCAGCATTACTTTTAATTCCCGTCGAATAAAGGTAATATTCATTTTTGTTTTATATGCTATTTAATGTTAAACTGACACAGAATTGTTAATATTAATCACAATTAGCAGGATGTAGAAGGCATTTTGTCATGTTGGTTTTTAAGAAAAAATAATTTTCCCCAATAATTTTCTGCACCTCATTCCTGAGAAACTAGAAAAAGACATTAAATGTAAATATCTACTGAATAAAATATTTACAAACATCTAAATGTGTGTTTGATTTTCATTCAAATCTTGGTTCTGTCTTTTGTTACTTACATGACCTTCAAGAAATCACATTGGTTTTTTTAAGTCATGGTTTCCTCAAGAGTAGTCAGGATTTTAGAGCTGAGCTCACAGAGTTGCAGTGAGGCAAAATTAAATTATGTATATGCAAAATGGACACAGAGCCTGACGTATATTGGGTGTTCGATGAATACTAATTATTAACTATGTGTCATTAATATACCTAGGCAAAGACTCTGTTTTCTTAATGTCTGTTTGAAATCTTTATACATGACCAGAGTGGCTAAACATCTTTTAAAATGATACTAATAGCTCGTTACACGGTCTTGAAAGCCCTCACTTTCTCTATCACCAGCCTAGACCCCTACCTTGAACTTCAATAATATATTCAGTTCATTCTTATATTTCTACTTGGATGTCTAATAGATGTTCCAACTTTAATACGTTCCAAGTCAAATCCTTCACATTTCCCTTATTTATAGTGTAAATTTTCACACTCCATAGCCAGTCCATCAGGAAAGCCCATTTTTTATGTTACCTTCAAAATATATCTGGACTCCTATGACCTCTCACCCCATTCAAAGCTACCACCTTTGCCCAAGCCTTCATGACCTCTCACCTGGATTTTTGCAATAGCTTGCTAACTGGTCTTTCTGTTTCCAACTTTAGTGCACCCCACTTCAACAAATATTGTCAGGAAGGACTTTCCTGACAATAATCCACAACCCTGAGAACAACCCTCCCTGACTCTGGCTTCCCCACACTGCTTTTCTGCTGCCACTCTCTCACAGCACTTAATGCCATCTGACATGACTATATACAGTGGTCACCAATTTCCATCCCAGTGGACAGGAGTGCAGCAAGGCAGGATTTTTGTCTTTTATACACTGAGGTATCTCTAATACCTAGACGACTCCTGAATCCTAACAAATAATAGGTTGTCCCTTAGATATATGTAAAATGGACAAATAAGGGAGCAAATTAAAGATGAAACCACCAAATGAATGGATCAATATTACCCTGTCAGTGTTATAAGATGAATCTGAAACCAAGTACCTCATGATTTTAAAATGGCAATAATAATAATAGTATTCATTAAGAGTGGATACTATTAGCCGAGTTTCCTAGAATTATGTGGTGATCTTTAATACACCTAAAGAACATGGCTGTAAATCACTCTCCTTAATGTTTACAATTTTTGAAATCAATAATTCCAAATATACTTAATTCAAAATATATCATTAATATGTTTACTTAATTTCCATTGGTTTAACCCTGAGTAACAGGAGAATGTACTATGTTTAAGTAGATAATCAGGGATTACAGTAATATTTACAAATGATAAAACAGTTCCCAAAGTAATGGAAAAATAAAGTTGTCTTGGAAGTCCAGAAATTTTAGTAATATTCCAATCTCTTTGTCCCCCATTGTGCTCCTAATTTGCATGTGCACTGATAATATTGTTTAATTTCCCAAGCACAACATTCATAATCATATCCAAGCATTATCCACCTGTGATTTTGAGAGAAGATAAATTCTTCCCCTGCAAAAATATTGTGATATTTGCTCAACTTCTCTCAGGCAGTTGTTTTGTCCAATCATTTGGGTCTCACTGAATCTGTGCCTCATGGCAATAGTGAAATTGTCCAGGATTTAACAGGATTTGAGTCCAAAAATATTTGTGTCAGGAGAGGCACAATTATAAAGTAAAAACTAAAAACTGAATTTTTTTATTGTATTACAAAATAGTTTCTAAAAAAGCTTCCAGATGCTTGAACAGGAGTGCTGCATTAGGGGAATGAATTAATTTGGCATAAAGAAAACAATTTTATACAATTTTTATTTCAAAATTTGTTAAGTTAAAACAGAACAATTTTTAAAATTCACTTGTTTTACTAATGAAGTTGGCCTAACGTCAGACACAATTTACCCTTATCTTCAAGGGTAAACTCCACACTGCCTGCTACAGTCAAGCTAAGCCTCTCAACATTTTGAGGTACAGCAGCAGCCCCATGAGGCCGTGGATTGACCATGAAGTAGCATTTATTTCTGTCCCAGGAAGACAAAAACATACACCTCCATGGTTAAGTTAGGGGTCGCTTCTTTTAAAATGACTGCTGCTAACATTTCACATTTGCCGTCCTGACAAACTGCACTTCTGTTTTCTGATTTACCACTCTCTAATTTCCAGTACCTTTGCACAAACCAGTTGCTTAATTATATGTGTGACTTCTAACTGTCTCTGTGTGGGAGTTGAACAACCCCTGAGTCCAGCCACCTTTGTTCAGCTGCTCACCTTAGTCTTCCTGGTAATGGCCTCCACTATTTAAAACCATGTAAGGTCCCTACATGTACATTATGTGATAGGATTAATTGGATAATAATTAATAATTATATGGACAGGAAACAGAAAAATACTGGGTAGAAGAGGGCGGTTCCCTGGCAAAGGCCCACCCTCAGACCTGGATACCCGTGGCCCTAAATGAGAACAGGCATTTCTGTTTTTGCATCCAAAAAGTTGCCTTTTGGCCCACTACACCCCCTATCCTGCCTCCATATGAAACCCAAACCCCAAGCTCCAGAAGAGACGAGAAGACCAACAGATCAACAAACCAGTGATGGCAAAATGATGTGGCAGAGAAAGAGAGAAGAGAAGGCACATCTGAACACCAAGGGGAGCTCGGCCGGGGGTGTTCAGAGAAGAATCTAGTCACAGGCTGCCTGACTCCACGCAAAGATCACAATCCCACTCCATACCCCCTTCTGGCTCCTGATCCATCTCACTGAGAGCCACCTCCACCACTCAATAAAACCTTGCACCCATCCTTCGAGCCCGTGTGTAATCCAGTTCTTCTGGGACACTGGGAAAGACCTTGGGATACAGAAGGCTGTCACACTGGCCCTCTGCCCTTGCGATAAGGCAGAGGGTCCATTGAGCTGATTAACCCTCCAGCCATCTGTAGACAGCAAAGCTGAAAGAGCTTTGTAACCCTAGGGTTGCAGGCACCCAATGCTAGACACTACCATGGGGTAGGAGCCCAAAGCGCTCCCCCTGGCCTCTGCACCTGCCCGTCTGCATGCTCTCCATAGGAGTTTGAGCTGCGGGGATACCGAACAGGCGAGCAACACCCTGTTGCACATTTTGCAAGGGGAATCAGAGAATTCTCCCGTTTCAAGAATAATCTGAGTTTTGGAAAAAAAAAAAAAAAGAAAAAAAAACAGCATTCCCTAAGATCCTCTTGTTTCATACATGGCTTTCTTTTCTGATTCACCAGTATGTCTCCAAAATCATGCCTACTTTCTCTGTATATTAAGTAATTATGAAACTCAGGAGATTTCTATCAACCAAAAGACACAGGAAGTGCTCTTCTAAGTCATATTTAAATACATCAGGAACAATATTAAAAGCAAATCAGTTTCCCACATTAAAACAAAATATATAAATAGATGTCTGTGCTGGAGTCGGAAGTGTAAACAAACATAATTGTAAATTTTACAGCCTGTTTATCACTTTATCTGCTGTTTGAAATCACTCCATTAGCCCTGTTTTGATGAAAATGCTTTTTCTTTCTGTAAAGATCACTTTGTTACCTCAGCGTTTACATGGGAATTTTTTTTTATTTTATTAAAGTAAGCACAAGGCTAACATTGGAATCTAAGCATGCTTTCCAAATTATGCACACATCTGTGAAAATGTACGTCAACCTTAAGTTAGTTAACATATTTTTATTTTAATAGATATAACTACAAATACCAATATACTGTATATATTGCTGCTTCATGTCCTAGTCCTAAAAATACAAAGAAGAAACAAAGAGAAATGCTAATGTTGCTTCCCTGTTAAAAAACGAAGAGTTATTTATGAAGCTTGATTTGTAATTTTTAAGAGGCTGTATGGTATAGCAGAAAGAGGACTAATTTAATTCTCAGTTAATCAGGGGACGTGGAATCATGTATCTGAGTTGCAAAGACATGGGGACCAGCGTCAAAGTTCTTGGGCATAACTTCTTTCTGGGCCCCTGACTACCTTCACAGAACCATTTCTTAAAATACGATGTCCTTCAGTTTCCTCTTCTGTAAAATTAGAATATTAATTTCTGTTTCATCTACCTTGTACAGTTATTAGAAGACTCAAAGTGTATAATGTACAGGTAGGAAATTTTCATATTTTAAGGCATCCATTATTATCAGTCAACATTATTATTTTCCCCAGTTTGGGCAATAAATGTTTGATCATGAGCAAGTTACTCAAGCAAGCATCATTTTCCTTTTCACACAATTACAGTAAGGAGTTGAAAGATATGATCTTATTTACTTTTAAAATTCTATGGTTTCATTGTCAGTTCAGTGAAAAAAGCCATTGCCTCCCTTGATTGATTAGAATTTCATTTCCTGAGTCTTTGAGGGTTTTCAATAAAGAAAAAAAAATCTATGTTAATTATCAATAATTTAAAAGGCTAGTAAGGTTACCTGATGTATTTCCGGCTTTGATTCAACTTCTTGGAAAGATATTTCAAAGCTTTTTGACTTGGAAAAGAGGAATAAGAAATAGTGGCCGGGTATTCTATTTCTTCACAAGAAACGGGGCAGCTAGAGTTATGTGTTCCTACTGTACATAAATCCTTAAATTCAATGTGGTCTGAAATGAAAATCAGGACAGGGAATTCAGAGAAGAGAAATATTTCATCATGGGTAGGATAGTTTTATAAAGTTTATCATTTCACTTTCAATATTAAAAAAAGGTGGTTACCAACAACAAATGGTGTTTACTCTGAAACAAATATGTTACTCTGAATATAGCAGAGGAGATACAATATAAGGCCTGGAAGTTCCAATCTTTGAATTCATTGAGTCACTGGATTGGGATCTTTATTGGATTTAAGAAATTATTTTCAGGAAGTATCTGGGTCTATTTCTGTAAAATATCAGATATTTGGACAGAAGAATATCTGGGTCTATTTCTGTAAAATATCAGATATTTGGACAGAAGAATATCTGGGTCTATTTCTGTAAAATATCAGATATTTGGACAGAAGAAAGATGGAAAGTGTGTAAACATCTTCAGATTTGTCTCAACATACAATGGTAAGAAATGTGCTCCTGAGTATTTGCAGTTCCTTATTTCTGTTGGCCCAGTCACTTCCAAATCAACCACTGAGGTTCTCTGTTCAGTGATCTCTCTTGGCTCCTTCAGAGCAACCAGGCTGTCCATGCAAATGCATACTAGAAAAAAGTCCCTGTAGCAGGTAGTGTTTGTCTCCAGCTTCCCTTTGGACCACCTCCCAGTGCTCATTCTCACTGCTCCTCATTCATGGTAGATACTCAGGTTCTTGTTTTTCCTTTGGTTTTGATACTGAAACCCTTTGTTCTCGTGAATCAGTTGTTTACCAAGACCTCCTGGTTACTGACCAACTTTAGGTTTGCTTTTCAGACTCTAACTTTGACTTCTCTAGGAGAAGTCAAAGCATGCATCTGCTAGTTCTTTAGCATTGCTGGCAAAGACCACCACTCTTCTCCTACACTCACATGCACTCATACACTCCCATACACACATAGGCTCACATGCACATACTCTCACACACACACTTACATACATATACTCTCATGTACATAATACTCTCTCACACACACAAACACACACACTCTTCTGACCTCCTTATCCCACAACAGTCCCCGCTAAACTGCATGCATGGTTTTTTTCCCCAAGCTCTCCCTCCAGCCTCCAACAAGGATAAGAAATCTGAAGAAATCTGGCAACATCATTTCAAGTCTATTGGTTAGTAATACGGCTTTTGTATATTCAGCCTGTGATCTACATAAAAAAAGATTCCTTCTACCTATAGCCATACCTTGAAATATTTTACAACCATTGAAAAGAACCTTTTAAATCTATTCCTGCTACCCTGGAGATATTTCCACAATGGGTTAGAAAAGCAAGTTGCATAGAAGGGTATATATTGGGATTCTGTTTTAATAAAACAACCAATGACTTCACGTGATAAATATGGAGATGTATATGTGGAGAAAGTTACAGTAGGATATACTAAAGTGTTAGCGATTATTGCAGGTTAAGGTAAGAGGTGTGAAAGCAAAAAAAAGAGGGGGCTCTTTAATAAGAACTTGTCCCCAATAAATATGGCATGTACAGTTATAATTCCATTTATGAAAAAATTTTATATGCCAAGTGCATGCAATAAAGTGAATGAATGAAGGACTATTCCCAATCAGTGAGAGGAGTTCTCAGTAATAAAACTTCTATTTATTTTTACATGATTTCCTTTCTATTCTGTAGTATTTTAACTATTCACAATAAACTTGTTTTATTTGTGAAACAATAAAAAGCAGCTAGGATATTTTGATTATAAAAAAGAACAAAATTTAAAAATTTAGATGTGTCTTAATATCAGAGGGTTTTTGTTTGTGTATACTGCCTGTGTT
The DNA here is from genome assembly GCF_000001405.40 of Homo sapiens. NCBI lineage: Eukaryota > Metazoa > Chordata > Mammalia > Primates > Hominidae > Homo > Homo sapiens. Next base: position 155,838,657 of record NC_000004.12, read on the forward strand.
TGTTAGCTACTATTTAAGAACACTTACAAAAAGATCTTCTCTTATATACTATATTCTGTTTAATTTCTGGGCTATCCATAGTTTGACTTAATGTCTTATATTACTTTGAGCAACTTTAATATAAATCCTGAAAATAAAAGTAAATTAAGCACTTACCAAGTACAGGAGAAACACAGCTGAAGTACTTTTGTAGGTCACATTCTATCCCATATCCTTAAAAATAATAAGTGTAACATATAGAGACTTTACATTTTGTAAAATAAGTGATCTAATGACAAAAATACCTTTCTTACCTACATCTATCCATCCATTCATCCACCCACCCATTCTTCTATATGAACATCTATTCTTTCATAAGCAAAACTATGGAATCAAGTTAGTATCCAGTGAAAATATGTGTTGGGAGGAAGAATAATGCTTTTGTTTCTTTCCATACCTCTTTCCATCTGTCTATATCACTCTAAAATCTTTAAGCGGGAATAATAATTTTCAAATGTGAGTAGTTTTCAAATTTAAAATTACTTTCACAGTTATCATCTCATTTGATATGGTTCACAATCCTGTCATATGAGAATTTTCATTTTACAGATAAAGAAACTAAGCCTCAGAAAGAGTGGCTTGCTCAAGACCACACAGTTAGGGGAAACTTGGCACATTCTGTACATCTTCCATCCTGCTCCCTCTATCCATTTACACACACACACACACACACACACACACACACACACGTTCCTGACAGACTGCCATTCCAGAAGTAGGATGGGGAGGGGGCAGGTAAGTACCAATATTTGTTAAGTACCCACTATAGATTGTGAGATAAGTAGAAAATCACTATGTATCAGAGCTGGGTTTACTCCTACGGCTGATTCTAAAGACTTAGTCTTTTAGCCTTAATACAATATTTGTCTATTGCTATAGCCCATGTGACTCAGCAGTTAGCCACAATGTTTAGTCAGTAATCTTGAAAATAACCAAAGGAGATTGTCCACTTACAACGTGCGGACAATTTGTGGAATGTTTGGCTAACTGTAAGGAAGTGCTCTTTATGAATAAAATACAATAAGTAAAAAAAAAAAACTACCTCCAACACTGAGTTAGGAAAAAACCTCATTTTTCTGAATTATTTCTTGCTCTGGCAATAATATTTCTTCCATTATAAAGAGCAATTCAGAAAAAAAAGATGGTAGATGGAACACAGAAAACAAAAATAAAAACAAACAAACAAAAGAACAATGAAATTTTGGAAATAACCAATATCTGAAAAGCTGTTTTGGAGATTGCTTCCTCAAATTGTTAGTGGAATTACCTCAGCGAATTTGTTTAACGTTTAGAATCTTCCGTTTATTCATATATCAGTACACTTAAAGGGATGTGTGAGAATCTAACCAAATAAGATCATATTCCTGAATGCATTTGATATATATGCTAAAGTTCATGCAGATATCATTCTTTGTGTTTTATATAGCACCTTGCCTAGTTTCTGGTCCACATTAGCCAGTAGGTTTTGGTTTAATAATCATAACTTTTAAAATTGTCAACATTATTCTGCATGAAACAATTCAGACTTCTTTCCAGCAACTTTGCCAATAAATTAGGAATGAGAAATCAGAGCCAGAGCCAGCAGTTTTATATAGAACAGCAGTTTTTGCAGTGGCCAGAGATCAATAATCTGGATACTAAAAAGAAGGATGTGATGATTATGGAAACCTCTGGAAAATAATGAAACCACTTTTGCAAAATTTATATCTTTTTTACTTTTATTATTTTTTATATTATATATAATATAATATATATTTTTTATATTTTATATATATTTTATATTTATACATATTTTATATTTATATTTTATATATTTTTTACTTTTATTATTACATTGAAAGAGATTTGACCTAACTGACTCCATCTTGTTTCTAACCTCCAAGCTGTCCTTGTTCATTCTTGGGCGTTCGCTGAACTAACTTTGGGAGGAACTTAGTTTATGGTTTAGCTCTGAAACAAAGACAATAACAGCCCTTTCCCAAAATAAACTCCCTTCCTGCCTGGGGACTAGATTGCCTATATAGGGCTAACAAATTAGCCACAAGATTAGAAATTATGTTTAGGGGTCATGCAGCTGGAGGGTGCAAGATTCTAAACCGCCCCAAATTGCTTATAGTGATAACATTACTATTGTAAAAGCTAAGATCAGTGCTTGAGATATGTTGCAGACCCTGCCTCCAATGATCAGCTGGCACCACCCAGAACAAAAATCTGGCCCATCTGGTTTTGTGACCCCTACCCAGGAATTGACTCAGCGCAAAAAGACAGCTTCAACTCCACATGATTTCATCTCTGATCTCACCAATCAGAACCCCTGATTCACTGGTTCACTGGTCCCCTACCCACCAAATTATCCTTAAAAACTCTTATCTCCGAATACTCAGGGAGACTGATTTGAGTCATAATAAAACTCCAATCTCCCGCACAGCCAGCTCTGCATGAATTAGTTTTTCTCTATTGCAATTCCTTTGTCTTGATAAATCAGCTCTGTCTAGGCAGCAGGCATGGTGAGCCCGTTGGGCAGTTACAATATTTTGGCAGGTAGATTGTGTTACAATATATCTTTCTAGATATGCTGTGGGAGGGGGATGTAAGAGACCTGAATACAAATATCTGACATTTACATAGACTATATTCTGTGCCAGGCACTATTTGAACCACTTACATACCCCTTTCATTCTTACAACAACCCTATAAGATGGGATTATTATCCCCTCCTCCATTTGACAGCAGAGGAGAGAGGTTAGGTCACTTGTTCAAGATCACCTAGGGGAGAAATTGTAGAGCCGACATGAGCAGCCTGGTTGAGATCCAGCTCTTATTCACCCTGCTCCATTGCTTCCTTGAATGCTTGCCTCTCACCCATGGTTCTGGAAAAGTTGCAAATTGTATGAAAAGGAGGCCTGAAGTTAATTTTACAGTCCCAAAGAAAATAACTTTTCAACAGTGAAATCTTCAGGCTTGGTAAGACATATCCATGATCTAATTTTTCTTTCAAAATTAAGAAAATCTTGGTGTGCTGTTTTAGATATTTGAGACCATCAAATTTTAGCCTTTGGGAGTAAGTATTGGGGCCCCACCCTGATATCGCAATTTTCTCTTCCAGAAATCTCTGCGATGATTTTATAATGTAAAATTTGTCAGTCGAAGTTGTACCTGGCAAATGGATAATTTTCCAGTGTAGAATTTCAGAAGAATGGAAAACAATTTAGTGATATGTTGATTTGCTATGTTTCAAATTAAGTAAATATAAACATAAAATTCAAAGAAATTTAGGACTAAACTTCTGGTGACTTTGTTATTAGTTGTCATTTTAGTCTGCAAAGAGAAGGAACAGGCTTAAGAATATAATAATTTTTCTGTGAATGGGTCAGCAACATCTGTAATTACACTTAATAATACTTAATATTCCATTTGTATTTCAATACTCTATTTCTCCCAGACCTTTTGTAACCCTCTAAGAAACACTTAACTGTCTAGTTAAGTAAGGGGGCAGTTAGTCTTTATTTACCAGGAAGAAGAAAAGGCACACATCCACATTGCTTTTTTATGTGCTGGGCTTTGCATTCCTTCAAGCAACCAGAAGTGCTGTAGCTGCTAAAATTCTGCAGCTTGATGTTAGGATTGCATTCTCCCCAAGGGTATTCTTGATGAACTGTCTTAAGATAAGATAAATACTGGGTTCAGGAGATGTGTTTACATCAATTCACTTATTTTCCATCAAGAAGCTGGTACACATTTTTATTTTCCTCTCAGAGCTCTTTGATTTTCAAAACCAAAATTGGTTACATTTGTCTATTTTGCCTACTCTATTGACCTGAAATTCCCTGAAGCTAAGTATAATAGTGATCCTTAAACATATATCCCAAATGTGAATTAATAAAGTCAGACACATTGAGTATTCTAAAAATCAACTCATATAAGGAAAAAATATCATTTATGTAAATGTTATATTAGTGTAGTAATCAGCTCACCTACAAAACAGTGAAGAAAATCACATTTTAAAAAGATCCTTTAATAAGCAACTATTATGTGCCAGGCAACATGGTGTTGCAGAACTTTCTCCTTAGTTCAGCTAAAACTGGGCTCTTGTCACATGACCAGGAAAAATGAGGCTCGCGGGCAAATAGAAGGGTGAGGAAAATGGAATTTATTGGGTGAAAAGAAAAAAAGAAAAATGACTCTCAGCTAAGTGAGAGAGAGTCCTGCTGGTAGGTTTCCCACCTCACAGATTGAATCTCAGGCCACCACACAGGAACATGAGAGGCCAGGCTCCTCCCCACTGCAAACAGTGCAAACTTCCCAAGGCTCCACCCCTTCCTCCCAATGTGCAGGTGGGCATTTTTCAGAAAGAATCAGGTGGGAAAGGACAGCCTTCATCTGGGACAAGCAGTCCAGTTTTTCAGCCTTCAGGCTGTTTTAGGTTTGAAGGCAGGGTTTCACCAGGGGCCCTTGGCTGTCTCCTGTGTCTATCAATGGTAAGTGCTTTCTTTATGGTACTTCACTTAAACTTCCTTACTATGAAAGAAAAATATTACCCCTTCCCTATTTGTGCAGAGAGGAGATGCAAATTCAGGAAGCTAATTAAAGAAGTTACCGGGCAAGTAAGTGGCTGGCAAACAGAAACCTACCAGACCAGCCTGACTCCAAGATTCCTGCTTTTCCCACTAATTTTCTCCTTCCCAGATAGTCTCATTGAAGAATCATAGCTCAGCAACTTAGGTACCTCTTTATACTTAATGACCCTTTCCATTTCTAATGAAATGTAAAGTTTGGATTTGATAGGCTTCCCAGCTTTCACTTACATAGTTTCTGTTTCCACTAATCATGTACCTTCAGATAAAGGAAAATAATCTGAAATGAAATTTTGGAATTTCTAATGGTGTTTTACAGGCATGGGAGAAAGGAATTTCTAGTGAAAAGCATTACTTATGTGTTTGATGCATTCACTACCCCACCTAATTTCCTCAGACTCGAGTATTTACCTTCACTTGGCGGATGGTTACCCTTGCGTGCATTCCCACAGGTGACAACAAGCCTAACCCATCAAACTGTGGCACCTTCTTTGGTGAATGGATAACAAAGATGATCCCAGCATCAACGAAACCAAGGGCTGGGTTATCAGTGAATGCCTCCTGAAACAAAAATATGTTTTTGCCCAAATTGCAAATTGACTATATCAGTTCTAAACAAGTTTAGGATTTAGTTTTATCATCTCATGATAGCGTTTGACTAATCCTAAATATTTTATGTTATATTTCTATCTCTTTTTGTCTAAAGTGTATGAAAATTAAAGACATACTTTAGTGGTTGAATCGGTGAAAGGAAACTATCTTGGGTCCCTTCAAGGTGGGGTCTACTCAGGACAGTCCTGAAATAATTGAGGCTTGTCTCATCATTTTTCTTGATTGATGTCTGGTAACCACAAAGGGATCCTGAGTGAAGCTGACCTGGCCTGCAGCAGCTAGCCTATCAGTGCTTGGTACCAGCTTGGGCACCTTATAGCCCAAACCAATAGGACGATTGCTGAACTCCAGGAACTCTTTCCTCCAGGGATCCCTGATCTTCCATTGTTTTTCATTTGGGGGTCTGAGGTTCATTCGCTATTAAAAAAACAAAAAACAAACAAACAAAAAAAACTCCTTTTTTTGTGGGAGTTTCCACTGCATCCACCAAGGAATGTGAACCTACCTGCTTCTGCATCGGCAGAGAGCAGTTTTCAGCTTGGGCCCCATCACTAGGTAAGAAAACTGGTTTGGGATTCTTTCTTGCAAATTCTTTTTAAAGAACTAAAGTTAGCATTAACAACCAGCTGATGTTAATTTCTGCTTACACTTAGAGCGCTCAGAAATCATATAATTTGTGTGATCACTGTTAGTTTTGCTTAACTGTTTTGTTGTTTGTTTCTCTCTTGTGGGGTTGTGTGTGTGTGTGTTTTGGTTCTTTCTCTCATTGGATTTGACCAACTCAGAACCCTCTAGCTCATGAGTATAGAATTTTCCACTCCAAAGAAATAAAGCACCTTGCTCCCCTAAGCCTTTTGGGGCATTCTCATGTGACTGAGAATCACATGGGGGTGTCTGGGAGGAATGCTCCCTAAAATGTGCAGTGGCTCTAAATAAGTATCCCCCTCAGAAGAATATACTTAGGGTCTAATCTCAGCTGGCAGGTGCATGTTAGGAGCCAACCCCTGCTGCATCTTGAGCACCTAACACACTGTGCCAGGTAGCTGCAACACAGGACGACCAATCTTGTTCAGGGATAACAGCCCTGAAAAGCTAAGTCTGCTAGCAGCACATTTTGGGTCCAACACGTGTCCCAACTTGGTCAAATCCAAAGGGGAACTCTAAACTATGGGGAACAAGGCCTCTGAAGTGGAAAGAAAACAGCAATCAAGAGGAAAAAAAAAGGAAAGATTTTTTATTTTGACTACTAAAGGGGCTTTATTTACATAACAAAGCCACCTTTTTATCAGCCAGACCAAACTGAAAGAGCAATGGCTGCACTTCTGAAATATGGTAATGAGGTCTAAAAAGAATTTTTTTAAAGAAGCTCAGTGTTTCAAAGTCAACTTAATTAAAAGATTAACATCCAAGATGTGTGTGTGTATGTGTGCATGTGTGCATGTTTGTATTTAAAAGGCCTTCAGGTTTTTGTGGGTTTTTTTTTTGTTTTTCTCTCCTAAGACTTTGTCTTTTTTTTGAGCAAAAGTTTTTTTTTTCCTTCAGTTGACTGAATTCCGTTTTCACCTGATCTTTTGACTAAAATAGTTATTGCAACAGAGGCTAATCTTGGGTTTTTAAGGAAGAGTGTAGTTAAGACACTCAGAAATATCTTTGTTAAAAAAAAATTTAAGTGCACTCTGAAAGCATCACAGGGTCTAACCTCAAAATAATTCTACCGTTTTTTGGAGACCCAGGATTCAATGTGAGCTCTGCCCAGAGCTTAGAGATCCAGTTAAAATATAGGTAGTCCCTATCTAAATAAGATTGGTCTCCTTATACAATATTATGATAGAGTTCTATAATTTTATGTTAGATTTGGCTCAAAGAAAAATAAAAGCATCTCCCTCTAGCACCAACAGACTTTTTCTCTCTGTACCTTATGATATAAAGTTTGCTATTTTATTTTCACCTGAGTTGTTTCCTATAATAAGCAAATTTAAGGCTATTTAGCTAACAACTGCCTAGGGTTGTAAAACAGGTTATCAAGAATCTGAATGTCTAAGATAGGAAAAAAATAATAAAAGGGTCTTTATGAATCTATAAAATGTACCTTTATTGGCATACCTAATATGTCTATGTATTTATATGTCATATACACAATATTTCACTACAGAAAATATATAAAAGGGCTCTAATTAATTGGCTTAAAGAAAAATAAAAGTGTTTAAATCATATATTTTATCAGGAAAAAAGAAAAGACAGTTCAAATTCTTTTTCAAGTTTATGTAACTTAAGTAAAATCTTTAATAGAAAAGCTAGCTTTAAAATTACTAGTAAAGTAATATCAGAAATGTCTTAAGAATTGCCAGCATACTTTTTTTGTTTATGTTTATTAATCAGGCTATTTCAACTTATCCCTGCCAAACACTATAAAATGTCAAAATTTGGCATAGAGATTACAAAACTGTAAACCCAGCCCCAAACAGAATGATCATTACTTGTGTAGTTTTTAATAAATAAGACATTGATATTGGTTTAATGAAAATAGCTGCATCTTAAATTTTCAAAATTACCATAATTTCTAATCTTGTGGCTTTAGGCAGCCTAGTCCACAGGCAGTAAGGAGGTTTGTTTGGGAAAGGACTGCTATTGTCTTTGTTTCAAACCTAAACTATAAACTCAGTTCCTCCCAAAGTCCAGGAATGAACAAGGACAGCTTGGAGGTTAGAAGCAAGATGGAGTCAATTAGGTCGTATCTTTTTCACTGCCTCAGTTTTATTTTTGCAATGGCAGTTTCATAACTTTAAATCATGACTATCGTAGTTTTCCTAAATAATCTAGGTGAACAATTAAAATAAAATAGTTAGGTAAGGGATAAATACTTGTAGACAAACATGTCGTAACTTAGAATATAAAGTTATATTCAGTTAAATAATAGATATTTCATTATGTGGGTATTTTCCAATAAATATATATTATAGAAAAACATTCTTGCTAAAAAAAAGTGTGTCCTTTATAAAAAAACATAAACAAATTTTGTCTAATTCAAAGCTTATCTAAAGGTTATGTATAAAACAAGGTAAGAAGAACAAGCAAACAAAAAGAGATGTAAAGAAAGCTATAAAAATAAGGAGGTTTTTTTGTGGTAAGACAGCTTAAAGAGAAATAATATGGTAAATTTAGTCCTAAAATAAAATGACTGGTTGTTTAAGAAAGGAGAAGTGTTCAGGTCAAACCAGAAAGTTCAAGCATGTCATTAATAGTCAGTGTAAGTCACAATAAGGATTTATTTTTTAAAAAACCAAAAACTTTAATATGATCAAGTTGTCACATTATTATTAAGTGTTGGTTTGCTTAGGAAAAAAACTGAGATAAAAATTTTTGTTTTCAAATTAAGGTTATTACATCCATGTATCTTCCTGTATGTGCTTTTAAAGTCCTTGTGACATTAAGTTACAGGGCTTTGACTCCAGGGTCTAAAAAGGATACCAAGTCCTACTAAATCTTAAACACTAACAGCAATTAAATCCTCATCTTCAGGCCCCACAGCAGATTCCAATAAAAATAAAATGCATTCCTGGCCAGGCACAGGAATTCACACCTGTAATCCCAGCATTTTGGGAGGCTGAGCAGGTGGATCACCTGAGGTCAGGAGTTCCAGACCAGCCTGGCCAATATGGTGAAACCCCATCTCTACTAAAAATACAAAAAATCAGCTGGGCATGGTGGCGCATGCCTGTAGTCCCAGCTACCTGGGAGGCTGAGGTATGAGAATCACTTGAACCCAGTCAGCGGAAGTTGCAGTGAGCCAAGATCATGTCACTGCACTCCAGCTTAGGTGACAGAGTGAGACTCTGTCTCAGTAAAAAAAATAAATAAATAAATAAAATGCATTTTTGAGATGTGGGGCCAGAAATTAAAGCCATTCAACTCCTCGAGGCCTAGGGACTATTGAGGAAGAGGTGGGCATGTGAGATTGCAATGGGCGATATTAAAAGACAAAATAAGTTCAGTTTCTCTATAAATTAATCACGACTGTCAAAGGCACAATGATGCAAGACCAGCATATGGACTCCTGTGTCAGATTAACAAGGTTTTCTTGAAGCATTAACTAACTCCTTAATAAAGATCATAAAGGTTATAAAAGGCTTATGGAAGTTATATTTTATGGTCAAGATTAAATTTTATAGATTGTTTACAAAATTTTGGAAAACAAATTTAATTGGCTTCATGCTGTTTTTATTAGGGCTTCTTATTTGGAAAATTAAGTCTCCTCTCTCAAAGAATGAAGTTTTTTTCTTTTTTTAAAAAAAAATCCTTGAGTTATCACTTTGGTTAAATGAATGACTTTACAATAACCTGTAATCCTATTTCATAATATCAAGTATTTTACACCTTTGATATTTGAAGATCTTTCTAAAATCAAATTATAAATTATGTCTTTTTCTGACCTAATTAATCCTTTAAGATATTAGTTTCCCTAAAGTCCAAAAATGACATAATTTGGCTTACTTGGTATAAAATTATACAGGAAGCATTGTCAAATATGAAATGGTGTTTGGTTTTATTTGGGCTGTATTTATGTAAATGTTATTGGTAAGTGTTCCAGAATTAATGGAAAGGCCTGTAATTCTGATATGACTTAGTGTACATTATCAATAATAATAATAATTGTTATGTTAAAATTATTGTGTACCACTGAGGTAACAAATTTCCTTGTCAATTGTGTCTTTGACTATGTCTGCCCTAAAACCTTTTTTCATCCAAGGACAATTGTGCTCATGTTTTGGTCCTCTTTAGAAGGTGTTTTTATAATCAGCTACAAAACTCTAACAGGTGCCCTTAAATGCAGGTTTCTGATAACTTTGGAGATTGTAACATCAGAAAAGAGGAAAAACTTTCAGGACTCATGGAGAGCTAAAATGTTCATGAGTATTAAACAGAACAGGAATTAACTGCATGGACTCAAATAATCTTTTTTACTTTTTACTTAAAATGTTTGCTGATCCTTTGTTTTGTTTTTCAGAGTCTTAAAACTTTTATTTTGAGCTACAATTTAGAATACTCCTATGAACAAAACGTGGAGCATACTTTATCCTGTCTGCCTGATTTCTCCAGAATTTGGAAACTATTTGTGGATATTCTTAACTTGTGGCAATACAGTTATTTGCATAAGTGCAATAAGAATCTGTTTTCACTTGTAACAGGACACAATTGGAGAAACTGGTTATTTTACCAAGGCTTTTACTGGAATGGTGTGCTTTCCTTTAAGGAATCAAACTTGGCTTATGAAACCAATAATGTCCTTGGAAAAACTGACCTCATATTTTGTGTACAGAGTCCCTGTACAGGGTTTCTGACCTGTGGTAAGTAAAGAATGTCACTTTCTGACAGGCCCAGAAGCTCCAAGTTTATCTTGGAACCTCGAGTGGCGAGGAGATTCACCCAACTCATAGGTACTTGATGGCACAAATCTACGGCTGGGCTCGGCTTTTAAAAAGTCTTATCTGACATTCCTTCTATGGAACAAAGTTCCACCAAAGGCAATTTAAAAGCCTATGTAAAAAATAACTATTCTTGGTGCACTGTATACAAATAATTTGGCAAAGTAAAATAAAGCAAACTAGTCCTAACATGATTTGTCTTTAGCAAAAATGGGAAATTTTATGTCCTAATTAATCCTTTAGTTAGGATTAGAGAAGAGAGAAAAATTATGTTTCCAAAACTAGGGTACACCTGTTGTTAGATTCTAGTCTTGCCCAGTGTTTTTCAATTTTTATTATTTTCTACAGTTTGGACCAAATTCTATTTTTTCTTGGCTACAAGCCTTCAAAATAATGTTTTCAATTTTTTTCTTTTTTTTCCCCCATATTTCCTAATTTGGAGTCACTGAAAACTAAGCTGTGCTTTCTTAAAGTCCGGCAAACTGAAGCCAGTCAACTTAAACTTTAGAAGAAAGTAACTGCAGCCTATTTACATACATAAGCCACTTTTCATACCTGCCTACTGATGTACGGACTTCAAAGTAACATGGCCTATATGAATATTTCCAGTATTGTTCTTTTTTTTGCTGTTGTTTTTCTCCCTTCCTCCCACTATTTTCTCTTCATAGAACATGAGACTTTGCAATCTGCTAAAAATAAGCTTTTGGGACCTACCCATCTAGTAATAAACCATCCTAACCATGAGAAATCAGATGAAAACTGAGACCAGAGACTCATATTCTCCTAAAATGCTTTCTCCTAAAGATTTTTTTTTTAAAGGGAGCAGGGGAATGGGAAAGGAAATTATCTTGGGCTCTGTCAAACTGGGAGCTGCCTCCCATTCTATTTAAAGTTATTCCTTTGCTCACTGAGATGAATGCCTATTCTGATTGCCTCCTTTGGAAAGGTCAATCAGAAACTCAAAAAAAATGCAACCATTTGTCTCTCACCTACCTATGACCTTGAAGCCTCCTCCCTGCTTCAAGTTGTCCCCACCTTTCTGGATAAAACCAATGTATGTCTTAGATATATTAATTGATGTCTCATGTCTTCCTAAAATGTATAAAACCAAGTTGTGCCCTGACTACCCCGGACTACCTCAGGACTTCCTGAGGCTGTGTCATGGGTGCCTGTTCTTAACTTTGGCAAATAAACTTTCTAAAATGATTGAGACTTGTCTCACCGTTTTTCTCAATTGACATTCATTGCTTAAGACCTCTATAGTTTTCCATGGATCACATTTCACCTTAGATAGGTGCAGGTAAGTATTTACAATTACTGTTAATGATCTTGTTCCCTCTGGCCTTCTCTTCACCTAGTTGCCTTTTAGTTGCTTCCCTCTTGGCTGTTTTCTTTGACTCATTTGCTTAGAAAATCATTTGGCCCTCTTCATTTTGCAATTAAAATCCCTGCCCTTATGTTAAATTCAAATTCATTTTCCCATAAGAGTGAAGATTTACACTATTTCTTTAACACTAATGTTCTTTTTAATAAATCTTTTGTCAGATGAAGAAATTTAAGAGTAAACTTCTGGTGGCTGTCATTAGTTGTAATTTTAGGCTATAAGAAGAAGGCACAGTCTTAAGAATATAAATATAAAGAATATCGTCTATGAATGGATCAACTGCCTATGTAATTACATTTAACAAACATACTAAATATTCTATTTGTAATTCAAAACTCTATTTCTCCTGGCCCTTTTGTAACCCTCTAAGAAACACTTAACTGTCTAGTCTGGAGAAATATCTAAATGTTATTTACCTATGGAACATTGCATTGAATTTGTAGATGTTCATTGCATTCTAAAAATATTTGGAAAATTCTAGTTTGTAAAAATTGATAATATAATGTTCGAACTGACCATAGGGCTAATATTTGAATGACTCGAAAGTATTAATCAAATACATTACAAGTATATGTAGGTACATGCATTAAAGTTTGCAGTGTTATGTTTGGACGTAAAGAAAAATATCTTGAATGGGATACAAAAGGAAGCTATGAAGAGTACATTACTGGAAATTCTTTAAAAGTAGCCAATGGCATGATTCACTTGGATTGGGAGGTGAATGCAGGAACATCAATTTTACTTTTCATCTTTGTCATTAATTGTATGATTTTGGATACTTAATCCATCAGCATTTTACAATCCTCTTTTATAAAACCATAATAATAAAGTAGAATGCCTTAAAATGTGTAATACTAGAAGTAGTTATTTAAACAAAAGGTCAGAATTAACTAATCTTGGGTGGGAGCTATACTAGGAACCCTTGAAGAAAACACCACTGCATTTCTTAGGTGTTTGAACATCTGCCTCCCAGGACTAAACACTTAGAACTTATTAGGTCAATTTCAGCTTTCCAAAAGCTGGGCTTGGACAAAATCTATTTATATAATATTCTTTATATAACCATTATGTTTTCCATCACTTTTCCAGATATGCATTCTATAGTTTGTCAAATGTGTATGTAGAGTTTCTTTCTAAAACGTGATATTTACATAAACGTATTTCTAAAATTATTGTTCAATGCAAAGAGTTCTCTTAAAATAGCTACATACATTGCAACTTAGAATCTCTGGGTTTTCTTATTTTGTGGCATGAACATTCCCTGGAGTCAATAATTTAAGTCAGTAGGATAGCTAAAAATCTCCAGTTTATGCCTCAAAATTTTGCCTGTTTAATTTCTAAGCCAGTAGTTATATAAAATCCATAGGAGTCTAGACTAAATTAACAAAAACTGAAATAATATCCAATGTGTGGGAACTATCTGATATGGCCCAATAGTCTGATCAAGTTTTTGAAACCCCCACACATTCTCGTTTGTCTTGAACCTGGAGAAAATTCAGTACCTGATTCACATTGAAGAGTAAGCTCAAACCTCTTCCAGAGACACTCACTTTTCTCTTTGCTTGGAGAGTTTCACCATGATTAAAAGTAAAACAATTTCCATATTCAGTGAAGACATGTGCAAAATCCTCCAATATGTAAATGAACCAAAAAAAACCATCAATTTGATATTTTTGTCACTTCTCAAGTTTGCCATAACCTTTTTTTTTAAAGCACAAATACCTAACAAGACTGCAGAAATATCAGAGAGAATAGTCTGATTTATATGTGTATTCAGTGATAGTTTTTTTTTTTTGGTAATATGCATTCGTCAATTTGCATGTGATTATTTAAAGGAGACATTTTCATATAAAATTAAGCATGTATTTAAAACATTTAAAAAAATTACTTGTTTAATGTTTTCCTGAAGATGTATGGAAACATGTTTTTATCTGTGGAGCACTACTTCAGCATCCTTTCTTGGAGGAGCTATGCCTAATGTAACCTGTATGGTCACAGTGTGGCAGTCAATCACATGACCCTTTTACTCTCCTTTTACCCTCCTTTTCCAACCACTACAGAGGTGTGCATGGGACACAAGCTGGGCCAAGCTTAAACCTCACCTTCTTGCCTCAGTGGTTGGTTCAAGAATTGATATGTGTCCCAAGTGGAGCTAATTAGAGTCTTTGGTGAGATTATTAAGTGGATACTGGAGTGCTAAACTCTGATAATGAGTCTAGGGGGAGTCAGCAGCCATTTTGGTGAGGTGTGGGGAGAACTGATACAGAAAGAAGCCAACCAGAATTATGAGATGGAAACAAAGTCAGAATCTTAAAGACAGTCTTGGAGTCCGTTGGTTCAGCATTTTTTGAAGCCAGACCTACTGTTGGAGTTCCTGCTTAATTAAGCCAATTCATTACTTTTAGTCTTCAGTTTACTAGAACAGAAATGGGTTTCTGTAATATGCAACTGAAAAAATTCTCTAACATGAAATTTTTTGTTGGTAAGTTAAACTTGTTGGTGAATAAAAACAGCATAAGAAAGCTTACTTTCCAAGTTAAGAGTTTAGGCCAGAACCTCACCTCTGTGAAATGTCTCTCAGGCATTTTTTTCTGCTTACTGTGTGCTAAGGCGGCCTACCAAAAACATAAGAAATTGTATTGAAGAACAAAGAATTTGTGTTTACTTAGGTTCCCCTAACAACACAGGCTACAGAATTGCTGATACGGGAAATACGGCATCAAATTGCCTGTATAGTTCTTTATTAATAGATTACAGATAGATCTAGTACTTTATCTTAAATGTAGATTAATTTTATAAACAATAATAACAGGATTTTGTATTTGTTATGTATTTGTTTTGTATTTGTTATGAGTGAATGTTTATTATATATAATATATACTAGTTATTATATATAATATATAATATATACTAGTTATTATATATAATATATAATATATAATAATAATATATAAATTTTTCATAGTTAAATGCTGGGATCCTCTTATTTTCTATAGTCTCTAATGCAATACCATAAGCATATATGCAGAGTGATGGATATTTGGTGATTATAAAAATACTATGTTGGAATAGGTTGTTTGTTGATGAATGAAAAAAATTAAAATATCCTCTTGTGTTAAATTGTTTTTCTTTTGGAAGGACTATACTACAAGAAAGGCAATCAAGTTTTCTCTTTTCTATCTTTCCTTATCTAACTGCTTGAAAGAGGAAATTTGTCTCATGTGTATTCCATACCCCTGATATCATAAGGCTGAGCTAATGAAATAGAATCTGTAAGCAAATTTGGATTGATTCACCATGGGAGTAAATGCCGTGGGAGCTCAATGTGAAACAGTGCAGTAACGGAACTTATTACTTTGATTATATTTGAAGAATAGAAAATCGTTACCTTTGGGCTACATGGCTTTCCAAAAAACTCACAGTCCAACAAAGTGCTATTGTTGAGATAAAAACCTTTGTTCCTGATAAATTCCACAATGCTGAAGTTTTGGTGACTTGCAGCAAAATCAGTAGCCTCTCTAGAGCCAGTGGAATTGGCAGTAATTTCTTGAAGATGGAGGACTTTGGATACAATGTGCCATAAGAAAAAAATAACACCAAATTTGGCTACAGCATCTGTTTGGAACCTATTAGCAGGAATGAAGGCAATAGTTAGAATAATGAAAACTTATAATTATCTGGAAGACAGATACCAACATCTAGATTCTATTAGCTTCTTCTTATCTCCCACACTCTCCCTTATTTGCAAGACATTTAAGCAAAATTTGATGCCTAAGAAGTCTTTGACCCATTGTGCAATTAATCTTGTATTTGCACATGTAGTTTCATTTACCTAGAATATTCCCCAGACCTTGATCTGGATGACACCTAATGGATCTTCAAGATTCAATTTAAAGGAAGAGGAGGGAATATATAGTTGTTAAAAATGCATTTAGGAGCCAGATTTCCTGTGTGTGGCCTTGTCCTGTGTCAGCTTAGCTAAATTAGAACTGCATTTCCCAGCATTCCCATCCTTGTATATATGTGAGTTTCACTGTCGTGCAGGAGCTGTGGTAGCTCACCCACACTGCAATCCATCTGCTGACTCAACTTGCTAGTATCGGGCAGCAGCCAGGACCACAGCTCCTCCAGCTCCTTTGTGACCTTTTCCTTCAGCTTCTTCAAATACTGGGTTAGGTAAGAGTGCGACCTGGTAAAGATGACAGCTATCCTGCAGGTCATTCACACCATCAAGATTGGAGGTAGTGAAAAAGAGACCTACATTTTGAGCTTGTATTTGTTTCCCCGACTTCATATCCATTTTCCCTTCCTGCTGGCCCTGCTTACTTCAGCCCCAGCACAAAGAACAGGCGAAAGACTTACAAAGACTGCTTAACCAGCTCCTGCAACGAAGTGGGGCTTAATCCCTAGAAAAAAAGCCCTTTATTCTGTCATTCATGGTGATTCTGTTTCTCCAGTTAGGTTCTAATTGTTACAGCCACTTGATGGTATGACTTAGCAAATTTTTTTTTCATTTCCCTCTGACTTAAGTTTCCTCTCTTGTAAAATCTGTATAACCTACCTCAAAGTGTTCTTTTAATGATTACATTAATTGTTTTTCTTAAAATTTTTAGACACCTGCCTGGAATATAGTGAGTGTTAGGTAAGTACTTATTAAATAAATGATTCATTCTGGCCACCAAAGCAGAAGTAATCTATTTAACTTAACGACTGTATCACTTTCTAATTCTCTTATCTTGCCGGGCAATTTTGTTCTGCATTCCATATGGTTCTTCATTTGCATGCCTTCCATTCCTTTACAAACATGATGAGGACTTTCATATTTTAGATATTATAAATTTTGAAACTGAACAAATGTTCTCTCTTTAAATTGACTGCTAAAGGCATAGAACGGAATGCATATTCCACTCTTGGTAAGTATATGGTGTATGTGGTTTGTATGTCATACCTGAACCTCCTTTGTGTCCCAGATTTTATTTCTATTTTGCTTTATATTATATTATCTTATTTAATATATAAATATATATCTATATGTGTGTGTATATATATACATATATATAAAGAGAGAAGAAAATAAAAATATTTACTCTAAAAGACATTTTTTGACATATTTTGAAATGGCTGCTGCAGGGTCAGCTAACGGAAGTGGCCTTGCAAAGCTGTCTTTTATGTGGAAAATTTGCATCTGTAGAAAACGTCCATTAATGCAGCCGGGCCTCCTCTTGCTAGGCATTTGCTAGGTATAGGAGAGATTGAGATTCTGACACCTTTAAAAGTCTAAAAATAAACATTTGCCATCTTGTCTCTCTGAAGAAGTCTTCATCTATATAACAAGGTCACCTTTGCTAGTCAAGCCTCTTCCTTTCTCCCTACTATAACCTGTATAACCTGTCTTGGTGTTAAAACCTGCTTTCAGTAATGTTCTGAGCCCACATTCTTTCTATAATCTCAAGATGATAAATAAGCCTCTGTATCCGGTTGGGATGTTGGGCTTTATTCTGAAGGCTCATGTGTATACACATTAAATATCATTGTAAGCCTTTTCTTCTATTAATAAATCTGCCTCATGTCACTAATTTTTCAGCCTATCTTTAGGGGGCCAACACCCATGGCCCCCACAATGTATACATATAATTTTTCTTTCAAATTCAAGCCATATTAAATCCTTTCTCAGTCAAGGTAGGGCATACACAAAACACAAAAATGGAGAAACAACCTCAAGCCAACATTACATACTCTTTAAGAGATGAAAAACTGTTTTCACAGTCAATAACTAATATTGTAGCTTGCTTAACTAGCTCTGATACTTGCAAAGCTAGCCCAGGTCCTAAAACTCTGTAAATATCCTCCTCGGACTTCCTGATTCCAAGGCACTATTGGTCATCTGTCATGGTGGTATTCTGTCTAACTACAGTACATCTAATAACCTTGCATTTCTTGGTCAAAAGTATTTCTTGGATCATTAAGGAATTAAGAGTTTACATCAGGAACAGATTTTGGCAGAAGTACAGTGTAAACCCTATATTGAGAGATGGACCTCCAAGCTACTTCAGGTTTCCAACTCCCAGTGACAGACAGGTTCCCAACAATCTGCTCCAAAACCCTACAACTGTGAAATCCTGCACAGTCAGAGCCAGTATTCCCTGAATATATTCATTGGATTATATTCAAAATGATTATGCAGAGAAATAAAGGAATTACTATACATATGGGAGCAATGAATACAATCTACAAAAAAGTTAAATAGGAGGGCATCTTAAAATATTTTTAAGCTTTTTTTATTATACTAATAATATTTGAGACCATGAGAGTAATTTATATAGATTAATTAAATTTAATAAATAAAGCCTAACAATATTAAGCCAAGGAAGAAAATTTTTTGTGAGAAATATTGTTTTGCATAAAACAAAAGTGTTTTGCACTGAGTTTATTTTCAATTTTATTTTATTTTTTGAGACAGAGTCTCAATTTGTTGCCCAGGTTGGAGTGCAGAGGCACAAACATGGTTCATTGCAGCCTTGACCTTCTGGGCTCAAGCAATCCTCCCACTTCAGCCCCCCACATAGCTGGAACTACAGGTGTACACCACCATGCCCAGCTAATTTTTGTATTTTTTGTAGAGACAGAGTTTTACCATGTTGCCTGGCCTGGTCTCAAACTCCTGAGCTCAAGCAATCTGCCTACCTTGGCCTCCCAAAGTGCTGGGATTATAGGCACTAGCCACTGTGTCTGGCTTATTTTTAATTTTAAATTGAACTTCAAAACTCTTCTAAGTTTTCCTTTCAAAAACCTTGCTTAGCTAGAATTTGACTTACTCTAATTTAACACAACTGGTAAGAGCCTAGTAGAAGAAAATAACACCAAAAATATATTAATTTGTTTAAACAATTTAACATCTGCTAACCAGTTATTAGATATGTCTTTCTTATGTATATCAATGGTTCTAAATGTACTTCTCCAAGTTATATGACCCAAATGAGTAAGTTTCATCTAAAATCCAAGTTGATGCCTGACTCAGGCCTTATTTGAGTCCTGCCAAAACAGATCCATTTCTCGTACATTTTACAGATGATTTTATGAAGAAGGAAAATGAGGAATAATGTCTGCCTTTTGTATTCTTCTTTGAGCAAATTTTAATGTCTTACCATTCTTTAATTAACTAATGAAACCTTTGTTGTGTCTTTATATTTGTATGAGAAGCAATGATTTTACCTTTGGTTAAAAATGCTTGAGCAATTTTTTCTTGCATCAAACAAATTTGAAATAAACAAAGAATCACAGTGATTATAAACATGAAGACCCAATATACGAGTTACTCATAAACAATGGATCAAATAGCATCAGTAGTCACTACATCCAATTATTATTTCTGATTTTAGTGGAAGAAAATAAAATTCTGAAGTTTTTACCAAATGAATATAAATTTTTGATGAATTTTGTTATAAAGATATTTTAGTGAAAATTTTAGACACAAAGACATTTGAAAAGCACTAGAATTGATACCAAAGAACCAAGTCACAAACAGTATTACAATTTCTGGAATTTTTTGTGAAATGTGACTTTTTATGAATTTCTGCCAATTGTATTCTTAGGAGTTTGTCTTTCTGTTTGTATAACCATTGCTTCATGTGAAAGAAACTTTTGAAAATTAAAATTAATAAGTATTCTTTAATCAATTACAAGTAAAACTAGACTAATATGGCTGTGCTATGGAACATCAATACATGGATAAAGTTAATTTTGATGAAGTCGTTGACAAATATTCATAAAGAGGCTAAAAAATGGAAATACAATGCTATTATTCATTTCTGTGTAAAACTAAAGAAAATGTCTGAGGGGAGCCCCAATCATTTTAGAGGTTTATTTTGCTAAGGTTGAGGATGAACCTGGGGAAAAGAAACAAAATCACAGAAATATCTGTGATCCATGCTTTTTCCTAAGAGGGTTTGGAGACACAATATTTAAAGCGGAAAGCGTGGGCAGTAGGGGAAAAAGGAAAGAACAAAAAGGGGAGGGTGGATAATAAAGGCAAGCAGTTGCATTCTTTTGAAGCTTTGATCAATTTCACTGAATTTACATTTTACCTGTGAAAGGAGTGGGTAGTAGAATAGTCAACTATGTGTTTGTCTGGTGCTCAGTGAATCTTCATTTTTATATAGGATAAAGTAAACATAGACCAGAGGAAGAAGTCAAATACGCATTTGCCTCAGGTGAGTAGAGGGATGACTTCTAGTTCTATATTTGTCCTGTACCTGTGAAGATAAGCTGTTGATTTATATTCTCAGGGTGAAATTCAGTACAACTTCATTTTACAGTAAGGATCTTGGGGCCCGCAGGAGATTTTCTGTGAGAAAATTGTAAGAGAGGGCCCCTGAGAAGGTATGTGCCTTCTATCTTTGCAGTTATCTATTTAGGAACAAAATGGGAAGCAGTTGTGTGTGACGCAGTTCCCAAGCTTAACTTTTCCCTTTGGCATCGTGAGTTGGGGGTCCTGAGATTTTATTTTACTTTCACAACTGGAACAGATTTTAAAAACTTTAAAAAACAAAAATATGTCAGTGTCCAAAAAGTATTAATGCATTACTTTTTCTTATTTTTGTATTGTTTATTTTATTTTTTAACATTTTTATTGACATGAATATATAGGCCATTTTCATTATTTGTTTGATTTCATGACTATTACCAAAAAAATTTTGTCATATAGAGGAGGGAAGTATTAAAAAGGGATCTCTGACATACACTTGGTATAGGGTCCTGGTACCAATTGTGAAAAGTAAACCCTTTCTTATAATCCAAAGTCACTTGGCAAAGTTTCTTCATCTCAGGTGTCCATTTTCTACTCACAAGGTGGTTAAACAAAAAAAGTATAGAAATTGGGATCTATCAGCAGACCTGTCCAGTTTCTAACTTGGTAAACTCTAATTAAATTACAGTGTTAAGCTTTACTTTTTTTTCAAAAGAATTAGAGAAAATGCAACTTAGAACAATGGGCTTCAAACTAGAATGTGCCTATGTCTGAGTGTTCTCCTGCACAGAGAATTTTAAGGAAATAAATGTTTCCATCCTCTTTTTACAATGGTTCTTCTCCCATATATAGAAAAGTATTAACTTGTCACCCATCACAAATCTTAACACAGAATGCATACTGGTGTGTAACAACCTCAGGGCTCCTAACATAGGAATACAAATTGTATTTTGCTTCAGGGGAAGACTCCTTTAAAAATTAATCAAAGCTCCTAAAATCTTGTCTTGGCTTGTCATACACATATTTGTAGCTAGAGTGAAGTTCTGCGTTAGACACAGGGTATTTGGCCCTTGCTTAAGACTGAATTGACAAAGTCTTAAGTAGAATAATGAAAGTTGTTATTTTAAATGTAACTAGACTATTTGTTAAGGCTTCCACATTTTGGGTTATTTGAATATAATCCACAGATAAAAATTTAAATGATTTCTACTGGTGTATTTTAGT
The DNA here is from genome assembly GCF_000001405.40 of Homo sapiens. NCBI lineage: Eukaryota > Metazoa > Chordata > Mammalia > Primates > Hominidae > Homo > Homo sapiens. The sequence continues at coordinate 155,860,158 of NC_000004.12, forward strand.
CAATAAAGCAGTTAAAATTTCATGAAAATATATGAAATGTTTATTCCTATTACAGTAAATCCTTATCCTATTTTATCTCATAAATATAATGATATATAATACTTATGTTTGTGATAATATAATTTGATATAAAATACAATATTTTTCACCTCCTAAAAATAATAAATAAATATACTTAGGGTTATGGCTAAAAATGTAGACATATGCAAGTTAAATACACAGTTTTTCAAATTTTTTATATAGCACATTAACTAAAATATTTGAAGATCATTGGCTCTGAGAACTAGAAAATAGCTTGAGTACTTTTCCTGATCTGTCATTAATTTGCTGAGCAATGCTGAGTATAATGTTTAAAGTGGGAATCCAAATTATCTTTCTGTAAAATTATACTTTGGGAGCTGGAGATACCTTTCATGCCTGTAAACTGATATTGTCTTAATTTTTTGTTCCCTAAGGAAGAATAATTTTCTTATAATTAAGAATTTTCCTGTTCTATCATTATAGCCTCTAAAATATTAAATCTTCTTTTGTTGGTCTGGATACTTATATCTAACTGAACTAGGATATATTATCTTTTTTTCAATGTCATCTAACACAAAAGCTGTAATCATTGATTTGAGATTTGAGCTATGCAAAATGGATTAGGTTTCCATACCCAAAATTATAAAAGTACTTAGATCATAGGCTATTAAGTATTTTTAGACTTCTTTTTCTTTTTAATTTAGCTGTTTACAGTTACAACTTTCCCTATAAGCACTGTTTTAGCTGCATCTCAAAAGTTTGGTATGTTGTGTCTTCATTTTCATTCATCTCAAAGTATTTTCTATTTTTTTTGTGATTTCTTCTTTGACTTCTTTGTTATTTAGGTGTGCATTGTTTAATATTTACATATTTGTGAATATCCCAAATTAATTTTGATTATTGACCTCTAATTTTATTCTATTGTGATTGATAAACATATTTGAATAATTTAAAATATTTTCCACCTACTTTACCTTGTATATGGCCTTGTATATGGTCCATTCTAAGAGAATGTGCCATGTGCACATGAGAAGAATGCATATTTTGCTATTGTTGAGTAGAGTGTTCTAAGGATGTTTGCAAAGTCTAGTAGGTTTATAAAGATGTTTAAGTCTTCTGTGTCTTCTATTTCCTTGTTTATTCTCTGTCAAGTTGTTCTATTGATTACTAAAAGTGGGGTATTGAAAAATCTAACTATATAGGTTAACTTATATCTCCTGATAGATTGATCATTTATTCAACATAAAATGACAATTTTTTATATCAGGTAACATATATTACTTTAAAGTCTATGTTGTCTGAGATTAGGATATCTACTCTAGCTTTCTGAAGGTTGACATACCTTTTTCCATTCTTTTACTTTTAACCCATTTGCATCTTCAAATCTAAATTGTGTCTCCTGCACACAACATATAGCTGGATCTTTCTAAAAAAATCCATTCTGATAACCTTTGCCTTTCAATTGGATTGTCTAATCCATTCTAATTTAATTTCATTAGTAATATAGTTAGATTTGCATCTGCCGTTTTACTTTTTGTTTTCTCTATGTCTTATGCCTTTTGTCCTAAGTATACCTTGGCTTGTGGCAAAACCTTATCAATTTCTGCTTCTATTTCACATGAATTTTCCCTGCTGTATCTCTGTGTGTTCTCTCTTCTCCTTATAAGAACTTCAGTCATTGGATTTAGGGCTCATCCTAGTGCAGTATAACCTCAACTTATGTAATTATATTTGTAATGACCCAATTTTAAAATATGATCATTCTGAGGTTCCAGTAGACTTGAATTTGAGGAGATACTATTTAAATGTTTCTTTTTTAAAAGAAAAGTTTGCCTTTTAAGATAAATATTTTTTCACCAGTTATGGTTGGTTTTGAAGGGGATAGAGTTTATGGACTTCCTCACTTTGCCATTCTGGAAGTAATATCTACATTTTATTTCAGTCAAGGATAACTGCAACCAATCTCTGTTTTTGTTAGAACACATGCTACTTAAAACAGTATGAAGCAATAGTATTGAAAATCATTTTTTGGGGGGAAAGGATTGATTTGTTTCGACTGTTAGGACCCTTGATACATATCTTGAGTTCTTGAAATATTGACAATCATACAAACGGGCTATAACATCTATTATATATTGAACACCTGTTCTAGAAGTCCCCCAGGAATGAAACACAATGGAGTACTTATTACCTTATCTAATGTAACAACAAATATGTGAAGTAGATGATATTATCTCATTTTATAAATATGAAAATTAACACTAAGAAGGCTGAGTGACTTCCCTAATAGCTAAGTGGTGAGTCTTAAGAAGCCCTCCCTTCCTCAGCAAAAATCCTATGTATGGTATTTCATGCTTCACCACAGGCAATTACAAAGCATTGTCTGGAAGCCTAGTGGTGGAAAGTTGTCCTCCTCTTAGCAGATTTGGTGTACAGTCAATGGACTGCAGGTTTCTGGAATGAGTTGCAGTCAAGGACTCAAGACACTGGCAGTAGAGCATTGAATCAAGTGTAACCCTTTTCTAAGCTCAGGGCTCTTTGCAGCCGCACTGATCACAGACCCGTGGAGCTGGCCTTGCCTCTACTACATTAAGTAGCTCATCATATGTACACCAGAACATTTTATATCGTTATGTGTTTGCAAAGTAGTTCCCTCTTCCATTTCTTCTTCATCTCCACTTAGAAAGCTGTAATCATCTTTTAATACCCAGATTTCCATAACACCCAAGATGGAGACTATTAATCTGTTCTGTGGGATTTCAGAGCCCTTGCACATTGTTTTATTTTGTTGTGCAATTACCATATTGCACTATGATTGTTGATGTTTCTCTTTTCTGCTAATTAATGAACTTCTAATATGCAGGGATCAAGACTTTACATCTGGCTGGGCACAGTGGCTCACATCTATAATTTCAGCACTTTGGGAGGCTGAGGCAGGTGGATCGCTTCAGCCTAGGAGTTTGAGAATAGTCTGGGCAATGTAGTGAAACCCCCATCTCTTTTACATCTATTTAATGATAGGATTTGGGATGTTACCTAGAATATGATTGTGGAAGGAAGGAAGAAAAGATGGAAAATAAGTGAAAGAAGAAATTAATGAATTCTTTGCTCCCTTAAATTTGTGCTTTTGAGTGCAATTTAAGTGCAATTTAATTCAGTGGTTTTACATATGATAAGTTCCACATGAGAAAACTCTTTGTCAGTCATCCAAGAAAGATTATACTAGCAAATTTATAGGAACTAATTATTTTTAAAAAAGTAATTTTTACCTGTTCAAATTACAAAATGTCACAGCTGGGAACTCCATCTTTTCCACATATTGAACCTCAATGGACGTTGTGGTTGGCCATGTGAAGTAGTTGAGCAAGCGAATGTAGATCTGCCATGTCACAAGTGAGACTGAGCCCAGAACCACCACCAACCAGAGCACCCTGCGAATTTTGCTCCGGTTCTGAACAATATTGTGTATCCCATGAAAGGAAGTGGAGATGGCAAAGTCATGGTCAAACTTCTTTCGCTCAGTGGGAGATGGCAGTGGTTTCTTTGAAAGGCAAAGCTTTATCTTTTCTAAGAGTCCTTAAGGTTTTGCCCATAAAATGATTAAACAAAAAAAAGTAATTAGGAAACCTTAATGCTATCCGTAAAAAAACACAACTCACATAATTTAAAGAGGTGACTCTTTTTACTTGTAATTCATAGAAACTAAAAATTCATCTTTTGTTGCATGATTTATTCAGGAATCAAGAAGTGTAAGTGTTGGCTACATGGGTTTATTGAGAAGATGCTAATGCTATTCATAGAACGGCTATTATTAATGTAAATGTGTTAGTGGTATGGTATTAATAGGTGACTTCCAGCTTTAAAACCAAGTTGGTTACAACAATTCATAAACTTTAAATATTAACTCTTATTTTTAAAATGCTCTTTCTCTCTGAAAGTCCTTTAGAAGTCATGAACAAAATGAGGCTGATTCCTCTGACAGTCCTAAGTATGGCTAAAAGTAATCTGTTCTTAACTAATGTTTGTCCTATGGTGGTATAATTTATGGTAAATGTAACTTTCATTCTCGTATTCTTTAATGTACAACTATTTTATATTTTGTTGGTTGTTTAGTCAGAATGTTCAGTGTTCAGTTGTAGTATTAGTTAAGTAATCTATTTTCTACCTCTTCATGGAATTAATTCATCATTTCAAGTCTATCAGGAATCAATCAATAATATTTATTGATATTCATTGGTAAGAACCAGGGAAGGTAACACTAAATTTTTTTGGCAATATATGATATGTTGACAATTTTATTTTGGTTAAATTTCTTTCCATTTGTTCATAGGAGAAGAGGCAATGAATCCCTTTGTGGAGGGAAAGGTTCAATATAGTTAAGAGCATGAGATGGGCTTCACAATGGAAGATCAGGCTTCCGGTCCATTCCTCGCCTCTTATAACCTGCACAACTTTAGCCAAGTTTCTTAGTCTTATACCTTTTCTGTCAAATGGCAGCAATGGTATCTGCCTTATGAATTTGTTGTATTAAATTTGTTGATAATACCTGGAGAGAGCTTAGCACATTATCTAGATCATAATAAGTACTCAAGGGTATTAGCTATTTTTATTATTCTGCTAATGTAGTGGTGATGTGGTAAATAGTAAAATATTCAGGAATTTTAAAAAGCTTTAAAAGTATCTTAAAAAATTAGTTCTTAATGGCTTTATATATGTTCATAATTAGGTGAATTAACTTTTATATCCTTTGCCAAAATAATACTTTTGGAATATAGGTATTCAACTATCCAGCATTAATTTACTTACAAGATGTTTCAAGCTTCATTTACTATTAAATCATTATTTAATACAACATAAATAACCAATCAATTAGCTAAGCTTTTTATTCAGTTATAGGACATATGCTATAAAAAGGTGTCTATTAACATTTTCTAAGGGAGTCCATTTCATTCACTTACAAATTATATTATTATTATTTTACAAATTATATTATGATTATTATTCACTAAGCAGGATAGCTTGTATTAATATGATTAGCTTGAAGTTGGACTAAAATCTTAGAATAGCACCGTTATTAATGTTGTTTTTAGTATAAAATTAATGAACATGTATCAAGTAACTGGCATAATCCCAGAGAAAAATCAGAAACAAGAAAAAAGTTATTGTTACTAATTAGCAAAATATATTTAAATATGCTCTTTTGTGTATTCTTTAGTCATGACTTGCAAACATATGCGAAGAATTTACTCTGATAAAAGAACAACTCAGTCTCTGGATAACTTGTACCATTCCTAGAATAGGGATCAAAACTATTAGAAGGGGAAGACTAATGTAGTAACTAGTTACTGACAAGCAAAGTGTGGCTAGTTGCAAGCATTACCCCAAAACATTTAACTTTCAAGTTTGCCTGTCAAAAATCAGCCCATTTAATATACATCTAATCCTTGACAATTGGTTTGGCCTTTCTGGAGTAATACCAACTATTTTCTAGTGTTTTAATAGAGTTTTTTTTATTATTGTTTTAGGTAAATGTATGACTGTCAGGAAGATTAAAATTGGTTGAATAAATGGCCCACTAGTTTGCAAAGCAGAAACTTCTTACTCTCCTGACTGGAGTATATACAGTGTCATTATGACAACTAGACCTTGCATTGAGTGCTGATCAACATAGAAGCATTTTGAGGAACATCAAATCAGCTTTGTTACATTTAAAAAATAAAACCTGCAGGCCCAGGATAAATAGAAACCAAAAGAAATAAAACAAAACAAAGAAACAAAATCAGATTCTGGCATATAGTAATATTTTAAAACTATTTTTGAGTCCCTCATACAAATAACTTTTTTTCTAAGTAAAACTATTCATTTTTAAAACTTATATTACTTATATTGTGTTCAAGTAACATTGGAAATCAAATTTCCCAAATGAAGAAAAAAAATCTCTCTTTTCTTACTTCTGGCCTCTAGAAATGAAAAATATTACTGCTCTGAGGAGTTCACTCTTTACTCACCGTTCTCAGCATATACTTTTGATTTTTCTGTCTGCTCCATTTGTGATTTCAGTTAAGCAAGAGTCCTCAGGGTAACCCAATTTTCATCAATAACAGTATTCATTTTGTGCCCTTTATATAAAATACAGCAGTTGAGGTTGTAAAACATGGAAGCAATTTAAATGTTTGTGTTGCTATGTTTTGCCTCATAAAGCACATAATCTGAAAACCAAAAATGTTGACAGAACCAGGTATGGGCATTTATGGACTGATGAGAAGCTAACCCAGAGTGATTTCATGAGTGAAAAGCAAAAAGTATCATTAGGAAACCATTTTCTCACAGTTAAAGGGACACTTCCTATCAAATATGTGTAGTTAAGCAGCAGCCCCTGACCAGGCTAGTTGACACTCCAATGACTCACCCGGGAACGTCTTCTTAGCTTTTCTTTTTACCTTTGTCTTTATTCAACTTCAAATCAAAACGCAGCTGGAATAAATTTTTTTTTATGGGAAAGGTGTCTTCCCTTGTCGGTGTTTCTTTCTTAGTAACAGAAGCTGTTTCTAACAGAAATAATAGCCAATAAACATGACAAAATAAAACACCAAAAAATATCTGCTCAAGAATAAATGATTACTGAAAACAAACAACTTACTAAAACATAAAGTCTGATTATTTTTTATATGAACACTTTTGGAAAATTGTTAGAATTTATTATATTGAATAATAAATGGAAGAATGTGCATTATTGTGCATAAAGGGCATCATCTCTTGACAGAATTCAGTGATTGCATGTATCTGTACCTAATAGAGCTTGTTAGACTCACCATTTTATAAGCATCTCACCATTAATCATCAGTATGATTACGTATATTTTGCATATATTTGGAAACTTGTAAACTCAGCACTATAAGTTCAAACTAGTCTTATACGGAGGCAAACTAATTCCAAGTGATGTAAGTAAGGAATCTGGCTAGAGGTCCTCAGTTATCACAGTAAAGATTTCAGGAATAGGATAAATTTCATGATATATGAATTTCTCCATTAAAGAGCTCTTCTTTAGGGTTAAATTATGTATTATTCTGTTCTCACACTGCTGATAAAGACATATTCAAGACTGGGTAATTTAGAAAGAGGTTTAATTGACTCACAGTTTCACATAGCTGGGAAGACCACGCAATCATGGTGGAAGGTGAAAGAGGAGCAAAGTTACATCTAACATGGAGGCAGGCAAGAGAGTTTGTGTAGGGGAACTTCCCTTCATAAAACTATCAGATCTCTTGAGACTGTTTCACTCTCATGAGAACAGCATGGGAAAGACCCGCCTCCATGATTCAATTAACTCTCACAGGGTCCCTCCCACAGAACATGGGAATTATGGAAGCTATAATTAAAGATGAGATTTGGGTGGGGACACAGTCAAATCATTTCATTCTGCCCCTAGCCCCTGCCAAATCTCATGTCTTCACATTGTTCAAAGCCAATCATGTCTTCCCAAAAGTGCCCCAAGTCTTAACCCATTTCAGCATTAACTCAAAATTTTGTAGTCCAAAGACTTACCTGAGACAAGGCAAGTCCCTTCTGTCTATGAGTGTGTAAAATCAAAAGCAAGTTAGTTACTTCCTAGATACAACGGAGTACAGGTATTAGGTAAATACACTCATTTCCAAATGAGAGAAATTGGCACAAATAAAAGGGCTATGGGGCCCATGCAAGTCTAAAATCCAATAGGGCAGTCATTAAGCTTTAAAGTTCCAAAATGATCTCCTTTGACTCCATGTCTCACATCCAGGTCATGCTGATGCAAGAGGTGGGCTCCCATGGCCTTGGGCAGCTCCAAACCCTGTGGCTTTGCAGGGTATAGCCCCCCTCCTGGATGCTTTCATGGGTTGGCATTGAGTGTCTGGAGCTTTTCCAGGTGCATGGTGCAAGCTATTGATGGAGCTAACATTCTGGGGTCTGGAGAACAGTGGCCCTCTTCTCACAGCCCTCTTCTCACTCTTTGTGGGGGCTCCAACCCCACATTTCCCTCCTGCACTGCCCTAGCAGAGGTTCTCCATGAGGGCCCTGCCCCTGTAGCACTCTTCTGCCTGAACATCCAGGTGTTTCCATATATCATCTGAAATCTAGGTGAAGGTTCCCAAATCTAAATTCTTGACTTCTGTGCACCTACATGCTCAACATCACATGGAAGCTGCCAAGGCTTTGGGCTTGCACCCTCTGAAGCCATGGCCTGAGTTGTACCTTGGCCCTTTTAGCCATGGCTGGAACAGCTGGGAAACAGGACACCAAGATCCTAAGCTGCTCATAGCAGGGGGACCCTGGTCCTGGCCCACAAAACCATTTTTTTCTCCTAGGCCTCTGGGCCTGTGATGGGAGGGGCTGCCATAAAGGTCTCTGACATGTCCTGAAGACATTTTCCCCACTATCTTGCTGATTAACAAATAATAAGGGGAAAGCAAGCTTCTTCTTAAACTTATTTACTCAAATTTGTTCCTCTCTTCTATGATATTTAAAAACAGTAAATGTATTTGCTCTTTCTCACACAAATCTGGTAACTCCTCATCTCTCTTTTACTTTAAAATTAGCTTTTAAACACTTTTCTCCTTCTGTCTTTAGCTTTGAAAGTACTTCATTCTCACTTCTACCTTATTACTGATTTTGGTAAATTTAAATTCCATCTTCTCTGTTGAGTTAGGAAATCTCCTTCCATTTTCCTTCATCTCCCCTAATTGAAATCAAAGCCAGTATCCTCTTCACAGTTATACCTTGCTTCTCCTTTGTGACCTCAAGTTCCTTAACTTTCTAAGATATCTCATTAAAAACAAATATGGAAGTGCCCACTTTCCTTCCTTCTACTTCATCTGGTCATTAAAGTTGTTTTGAATAGCAAATGTGTTTGACAAAGGTAGATTTTCATTGAGAGGGACTTGTAAAAAAAAATAAGAAAAAAATTTAAAAAGATAGATTTCAAATTTTCTTCCTCTCTCCCATACCACCCAAATACCTACACACATAAGGTAGGTAATTACATGACAAAACAAAACCCAGTGAAAATCTAGAGTTCTGAATAATTATTATCCAATACCTCTGAACAGGTAGCATCAACAATAACAAGAAAAAAAAACTACCTATTAGTGTTAATAAATGCAAAGGATGAAATTAAAAAGCATGCATAGAAAAACAATGCAACCAACTTTTATCTGACCCTGCATTTGAAATTAGAGCCTAAGCAACATTAAAAACAATATGCAGTGTCTAGAGGAGTATATTCTTTCTGACCCATTACCAGTTATATAGACACATAAATATGTGTTAGTCAAATATTTCCTGTTAATTCTATTTTTAAAAAGTCTTATGTGTTTTAATACAAATTTTGATTCTGTTAAATTGGCATATATCTAAAGGTATAAAAAATCTTTGACTAATACTTTTTAATTTAGCTTTAAATTAAAATTTTATATTTTATTTTCTGTTGGTGATACATGACCATTAATAATGATATAATTAATCTTTTTAGATTTAGACAAACAAGATAGTGCCTACAAGGCCTGCAAACAAAGACAATCTAAGGAATGCTTTTTTAAAAATCTGAAATAGATATTTTATTCTTAATCTCAGAAGGAAAAACCAAAGCAACCTCACAGCTTAGAATGTTTTTAAAGTAATAAATAGTTCAGTGGTGTCTTGCTTTGGGTCTGTAATAATACAAAAGACAGAACTAATAGGGCCATTTCTGTTATGGACTATGCATAAGTGTTGTTGGTTAGTGTTTTTATTACAATATTTTTATAGAGCTCTAGGTGGAAGAAATTAGCCACGGTATATCTATTCAAAGCAAACAAATTCATGCATCTGAAATAATTCCATGTAGTGAGGAAAGAGACTACAAAATATCAAATCCAGTACTTATTATCATTCCCCACCCTCATCTATTTAACAATGGAAGCTCAGAAATAAGGAGAAAGAATGGAAGTTCTACAAAGGAAGGACTTTTTGCCTGTTTTGTTTGTTTAGCTATCCAACTGCAAAGAAAAATGATGCTCAATGAGTGAGTAAGTCCGTCCCTGGGCTGGGCGTAGTAGCTCACACTTGTAATCTGAGCACTTTGGGAGGCCAAAGTGGGGAGATCACGTGAGGTGAGGAGTTCGAGACCAGCCTGGAAAACATGGGGAAACCTTATCTCTACTAAAAATACAAAAATTAGCTCAGCCTTGTGGTGCACACCTGTAATCCCAGCTACTCAGGAGGCTGAGGCATGAGAATCACTTGAACCCAGGAGGCAGAGGTTACAGTAAGCTGGAATCAGACCACTGCACTCCAGACTAGGTGACAGAGCAAGATTCAGCCTCAAAAAAAATTTTTTCAAAAAAAGAAGTTTGTCCTTTTTATTGCATATTATGATGAAAATTATTGTAATTTTTCAAACATTTTATTTTAAAAAGTACAAACTTATGGCAAAGTTACAAAAATTGTACAAGGAATACCCACATATACTTTACTTTAATTCAATGATTTTTAACATTTTCCCACATTTGCTGTATCTTCATTATTAAATGTATGAACTTCCCATCTCTTAAGCAGGATATCCTCCTGCATAAATACAATATAGTGATCTCATTTAGAAAACTTAACTTTTATACAGCACTTTATGTAATATGCAATTCATATTCAAATTTTCAAAATTCTTCCTCAAATTAAATTTATGATGTTTAATTTTCCTAATCCAGAACACAATCAAGAATCACAGCTGACATTTAGTTTGCATGTCTATTAGTCTCCCTTAATCCAGAAAATTTCCCTAGACATTAATTAATTTTTTTATTTTTTTGTCTTATCATTACATTGCTATTTTCAAAGTATCCATCTCAGAGGCTTTGCAAAATGCCTCTCAGTTAAGAGTTGTTTTCTTCTTCATGATTAAGTTCAGGTCAAATACCTACAATAGGAATAATGCATAGGTGATATTGTATCCTTCACAGTGCGTGTACATATCAGGAAGCATGTGATCTCAGGTTCTCCTATATTTGGTGACAGTAATTTTGATCTCTTGATTAAGGAGATGTCTGCAAAATTTCTACTTTGTAAATGTACCTTTTTCTTTTTGTAACTAACAAGTAATCTGTAGAGGCAGTTATTTTAGGTTAGAGTATTTTGTTCCCGATCTTTCACACAATGTTATTAGCATAAATCAATGAATCCTGTCTGAAATAATTACTTTTATGATGTTTCAAGATGATGACTTTTCAGTTTCTAGCATTCTTTCTATATTTATTTGTTGGCACTCATTTGTATAAAAGAACGTCATCTTCTGATGTTCCTAATTTTTAAATGTTTTTAAATGTATTTGTGGACTCATGGATTATTTCAATATTTTATGCATTATAACCTATGCTGTGGTTACTCATTTAAGAAATTCTTCAGATTGGCACCTTTTCTAGAAAGACTAATTAAAATGAGTTTACTCATTGTATTAGTCTGTTCTCACACTGCTAATAAAGACATACCTGATACTAGGTAATTTATAAAGGAAAGAGGTTTAATTGATGCACAGTTCCACATGCCTGGGGAGGCCTCATAATCATGGCAGAAGATGAATGAGGACAAAGTACCATCTTACATGAGAGCAGGCAAGAAGACGTGTGCAGGGGAACTCTCCTTTATAAAATCGTCAGGTCTTGTGAGACTTATTCACTGTCATGAGAACAGCATGGGAAAGACCCACCCCCATGATTCAATTACCTCCCGTCAGGTTCCACCCATTGTTTTAGAAACAAAAAACAAAAAACCGGGTTCTTGTCACAGGACCAGAAAACGTTAAGCACACAGACACTTTGAAGGGTGAGGGGGAATGGAATTTATTGGATGAAAAGGAAAACTAATTCTCACCAAAGCAAGATAGAGTCCTGTTTGCAGGTCTCCCATCTCACAGATTGAATCCCAAGTTCCCACCCAGGAACAGGAGAGGCCAGGCTCCTCCCCACTGCAAACAACATGCACTTCCAAGGTTCCATCCCATCCTCCCAGTGCACAGGTGGGCACTATTCAGAAAGAATCAGTCAGGAAAGGGCAGGCTTCATCCCGGACCAGCAGTGTGGTTCTTCAGCCTTCAGGCTATCTTAGGCTTGAAGGCAGGGTTTCACTGGGGGACCCTTGGCTGCCTCCTGTCTCTATCATTTCCCCCTCTAAAGAAGTATACCTAACTGCTGTTGGAATAAGGATAAGGACAAAGACTCATCTGAACTGCTTTCTGCTGACAGGGGGCACTGCTTGGGGAAAACGGCAGTCAGAGCTCCCTCAGAAGCCTATCAAAGGGTCCCTGGCAAAAGGGGCCCTCATCCAAGTCTCCAGTTGCATGAACGTTTGGAGTTTGATTGCCTGAAGGTGAGAAATAAACCAGGTTATAGAAAACATGTATCAAAACAAAATGGGGGTGGGGTTGAGGACAGCTAAAAAATTCTGAGGCCTTTTACCAGTTTGCACAGGGAGAGGGAGGCCAAAAACCTAACTGGTAAAAAAAAAAAAAAAAACTTTTACCCTTTAGCCAGCATGTCAGGCTTCTGGGTTCCCTTCCCCTGAGCCCAATCCTAAGCAAACTAGGTTAAAGTTTGAGAAATTAACTCTCCCCAGTTTGGAGAATGCATCTGGGTGAGGTGTCCCATAGTACGGAAACACAATTACCTATCTGTGAAGAGAGGACAGAGGAGAAACACGAAAAAAGAAGGGTCTTTTTTTTCAAAGGGGTCCTAGAAACTCAGGATGCATTTGAAAGGGGTACAGATGGCCGGGTGCAGTGGCTCATGCCTGTAATCTCAGCACTTTGAGAGGTCGAGGCAAGCAGATCACCTAAGGTCAGGAGTTTGAGACCAGCCTGGCCAACATGGTGAAACCCTGTCTCTACTAAAAATACAAACATTAGCCAAGCATGGTGGTGCATGCCTGTAATCCCAGCTACTCGAGAGGCTGAGGCAAGAGAATTGCTGGAACCCAGGAGGTGGAGGTTGTAGTGAGGCAAGATCACGCTGCTGCACTCTAGCCTGGGCAACAAGAGTGAAACTCTGTCTCAAAAAAAAAAAAAAAAAAAAAAAGAAAGAAAGGTATACAGACTAATGATGAATGGCTACTCATCTACAAAAAGGGGAGCAGATTCCTCCTTCCTTGTATCCCCAAGTCCCAGATACTGTGACAGGGTGGGTGTCAAAGTGGTCTTCACTTGTGTTAACAGGGGGGTCTGGGGGTGAGAGTATTCGCTTTTACCCTTGTATACCCTATCTCCCCTGCTGTCCATAGCCTTTGGATTCTCCAGACCTCATTTATGCCATGGATACTAGTGTGACCTTTATTCATGAAATGGGAAGCTTGGCTTATTCAGCAGGAATCAGTCACACTCATCTGCATTGTGCCTTTTAACTTGCATTATCATCTGCATCTGGGTCCTTCAGATCCAGTTCCCCCTGCCCCCAGGGCTTTGATGTGAAGCTTAGAATTGAGTTTGGGACAAAAATGTGTCTCAGAGGCTAGCATGGATTTCTTATTATAAGCCAAATGCTTAGGTGAGGCTGTGGAATTGAGTCCTCCTCCAACAAGGAAGAGGGCGTCTTGTGACATGCCCAGATAACTGGTGGCTATAGTTATCTTTGCTAAGATTTGGGTGCATGGGGCTTGGCTTTGGTTAGCTCCCTTGGTCTTACTTTCCCAAAAAGGAAACCTCCAGGTGATGGGCATCCTATTTATTCCCATCACCTGGCAGGATTTGCAGGCTAATTGCTCAGAACTAGAATGTTGATCCAAAATTTTGACATTACCCATCCCTTTTACTCCTTCTGAGCTTTAGTTGGAGATTACTGGTTGGTTCACAGGAACAAGCAGGGTTACTCTAAAATGTAGGCAAAAACTTAAAAACAACTGATGAGTCTAGAATTTAATAACAAATGTGTGATAAGTTTTGAAACATAATTTCTCTCTCTCCAATCCTCAATTTTGTTTAAAAAAAATCATGATAGGGATGAGTTGTTTGTAAAATAGACTTTAATCTTACACTTGGGCTGAGTGTTTGCATAAAGTGCAGAAGGAATAACTATTTCTACATAGGCCTTTTACATTGGTTTTGATGGAAATCTGTTCCACGAGGAATCTCAGATAAGACTTTTTAAAGCCAAGCCCAGCCATCAGTTTATATGCTCAAATACCTGTGAGTTGGGTAATCGTCTCCTCTTAAGGTCCCAAGATAAACTTGGAGCTCCTGAGCCTGTAAGAAAGTGACATTCTTTACTAACCACAGGTCAGAAACCCTGTAGAGGGACTGTGTAGACAAGGGTATGAGGCCAGTTTTCTCAAGAAACTCTTATCGGCTCTGCAAGTTGAGCTTGACTCCTTAAAAGGAAGCATACCCTTCCAGTCAACACCTTGGTAAAAAAACTAGTTTATCAATTGCACCCTCTTGCAAAAGAAAATGGATTCTTATTGCACTGATGCAAACATTTATATTGCCATAAGTTAAGAATATTCACAACTAGTTTGCAAATTCTGGAGAAGCCAGGCAGAGAGACAAACATGCTCTGTATTTTGTTGACAGGAGTATACCTTACTCAATTATTAAAAGTCATAAATAGTTCAAAATAAGTTTCCTTGACTCTGAAAAAAAAACAAGGATCAGCAATATTCCAAGCAAAAGTCAAAAAGATTGCCTCAGTTTTTTTATGGGTTTGTGAATATTTTAGCTCTTCATGAGTTCTGTGTGTTTTCCCTTTATTCCAAAGTTATCAGAAACCTGTATTTGAGAGCACCTGTCAGAGTTCTACAGCTTATTATAAGCCATCTTTTGAAAAGAATTAAAACAAGAAAATTGTCTGTGAATAACAAAATGTCCAGGTTAGTTACAGTTAGAAACACAATTGACAAAGAAGCTTGGTTATCTCTGTCATTTACAATTATTTAACATAAAAACCTTAATTATGATAGCGTATACTCAGACATTAGAATTTTTAAAATCCCATACAAATTTGAAACACATATTAGTATTATTTACCAAAATATAACCTAAAGAATATTGAACACCATTTTGGTAATCTCATATACCTAAATATGTCAAATAATCCTGTTTTCCTCTCTTTTGGATACTCCAAGGGCTCTCTGAAGCATCAAAAAGCCAGGCATCAGGAAAGAAAATTTTGAAACTGAATTTGATTTTCAGAAGCCTGTTAAATGTGTTAGCGGTTTAAAACACTTGATATTATGAAATAGAACTCCAGATTACCTTGTTATTTATTTTGCCAAAATGATGAATCAGAAATTTAAAAAACAAAAAACTTTTTATAACCCCTTAAAAATTTTGCTAAAGAGCAGATTAGTGCCTTAAGAGAACCTTGTTTTGCTTTTACTTTAATGCTCAATTTACAAGAAAACCATATAATATCCTTTTGAATTTAGTCAATATGTTCACATATTGAATTTTTGCAAGATTAATTTGTACAATTCCTTTACAACTTGTTTGGACTTTTAGCTTTATCTTATCAAATTCAAAACAATCTTTTAAACCTAAGCAAGAACTTACATTTCCACACCTTCTTATAATCTTTTACTAAAAACACATCCTACTGTTCTTATACAGCTTGCATGTAAATCTATTTCCAGTAGTTTCAATTACATGTTATAATGGTTACTCCTAGCAATTTTTAACTTTAATGTAAAACTTGGTAAGTTGTTTTGATTATGTGCTAGGTGCATCCAAGGTTTGACTAATTCCAGCATAATTAAGGGCGTGGTTATTTCTATATGTCCCCAGGCCTTACCAATTGTGGAGCAGGCAAGACAAATAGTTCTCAAAACCCAAAAAGCAGTTTATGACCTTAAAACATTTAGCAAACCTAGCAGTTGACCTGCATAATTTAGTCCACCTATTTATATTTTGATGACATCTGCACTTTACCAATAATCTTTTAGGCTGTTTAAATTTTTTGAAGATGAAAGTCATATGAACTGAAAGGTACCACAGCTTTTATTTTACCCTTTAAAAAATATTTGATCCAAGCACTTATCTTCTTTTAGGCCAATTAATTAGACCTTTTTTTTAAATAGACATTACACACCCAACACATATATAACTACACAGACAGGAAGAAGAAAACCCAGTAGCCATACGATTTTTCATTTTCTGATCTTCTATTTGGATTATTGGTCCCTTTAAGAGGGAGGGCTAGGAAAACAAGCAGCTTTTAGAGCCTAATAGGCAGGCATTACTGGGAGGCGAAAAGAGATTTTGAGAGGGATCTATCCACTTTTAATTCCTGGGGTTCAATGAGGAAGACAGAGATCTCTCCCCTCTCTTGTGTGCATTAAAATTGGCAAAGCAGAATGGAGAAAAATAATACAGCCAACTGAGAAAAAGCCGTTTTCCAGCAAAGCAAGATCCCAGAAGAGAAAAAAATAAAATAAAACAAAAAGGCCTTTTAAATATACCTGTAACTTAGATATTCATCTTTAATTTAGTTGAGCACTCCTTAAGAAAATCCTTTTAAATCTCCTATTACCTGACTTTAGCCATACCAAGAAGCCAGTATTTCAGCCTTTCAAACTTTACTAAAGCCTCAGAGAAAGGAAAATCCAAGATGGTTCATGGAGGAGAAGAGAATCAACAAATAGAAAAGTTACACAGATATCAAACCTGAAAGGACTCAGTTGCTAAGCCATGACTGAACCTGGGTTGTGCAGAGGCTAAGCAAAACATTGCCATGGAGTTACACGTCATGCCCCCAAGTCCATAAACCAAGATGGAGGCCTGCAGCAAAGTTCACTGCTGACCATACAGAAAGTCATGCAAAGGCCTGGAGTTGTGGCTCATACCTATAATCCCAGCACTTTGGGAGGCCAAGGCAGGTGAACCACCTGAGGTCGGGAGTTTGCGACCAGCCTGGCCAACATGGTGAAATCCGGTCTCTACTAAAAATACAAAAATTAGCTGGGTGTGGTGGTGCATGCATGCCTGTAATCACAGCTATTTGAGAGGGTAAGGCAGGATGATCACTTGAGAGAGAGAAGTGGAAGTTGCACTGAGCTGAGATGGTGCCACTGCACTCCAGCCTGGGTGACAGAGTGACACTCCATCTTTAAAAAAAAAAAAGAAAATCATGCAAAGCATACCAGATTGGCTACAGCTTAAAACCAACCTCATAAAGAATTTGTCACAATTAAAACTCTACAGAAAATATAAACAATGATCCCCATCACTCCTGGCCTAGCAAAACATCTTCCAAAAGGAAAAAAAACAAAAAACAAAAACCCTTGCTTAAGTCAACTGCTGACCCAGTGGAGAAAAGGAAAAGACGTTTAAATGCAGGGCTGTGTTACCTGTTGACAGGGTGGAGAAAAGAAAAGATACCTGTGGAAGAACCTCTTATTCTTATGCAAATAGTTTCCTCCACAAGGGAGATATATTTAATTGCAGTCAATCAGAGTACAATTTTTGGCCGGGGGAGGGGAAGGCTCCATGGTTGCATGGCAGGGAGCATTGACCAGCCTGCTGTTGGGCACCCTTGGGCCATGCAGCCCAGCCCTGGCAGGGAGGGGAGCGAGGAACCCACCATTTATTTGCCCATCCTGTGTATGCCTGCAGCCATCAGGGTGGGGTAGTGCACAATTTCCTCTCCCCTCAGAAGAGGTCTGAGGAGAAAAAGGCTTAGAAGCAAAAGGAAAAAAGATGTGTTGGTTTGCACGGTACTCACCCTTCCTCAAGCCGAATGTTGGCCACCAAAAATGTTGTAGAAAAAAACTGGGTTCTTGTCACACAACCAGGAAAAGTTAGGCACACAGACACGTTAAAGGTTGAAGGGGAACAAAATTTATTTTATTAGGCAAAAAGGAAAACTAACTCTCAGCAAAGCAGGAAAGAGTCCTGTGAGCAGGTTTCCCACCTCACAAACTGAATCCCAGGTCCCCACCCAGGAACAGGAGAAGCCAGGCTCCACCCCCCACAAATGACATGCATTTCCTGAGGCTACGTCCCATTCTTCCAGTGCACAGCTGGGCATTATTCAGAGTCAATCAGGAAAGGGCGGGCTTCATCCAGATTGGCAGTCTGGTTTTTCAGCCTTCAGGCTGTTTTAGACTTGAAGGTAGGGTTTCACAGGGGTGGAGGGGGCTGGGGTAGGTGGGTTATGAAGGGTAGCGGAACCTTTGGCTGCCTCCTGTCTCTATCATCATGACATTTGGGAGCTACAATTCAAGATGAGATTTGGGTGGGGACACAGCCAAATCATATTATTCTGCCCCTCTCCCCTCCTAAATCTCATGTCCTCACATTTCCAAATCAATCACACCTTCCCAACAGTCCCCCAAAGTCTTAACTCATTTCAGGATTAACTCAAAAGTCCACAGTCCAAAGTCTCAGTCTGAGACAAGGCAAGTTCCTTTCACCTATGAGCCTGTAAGATCAAAAACAAACTAGTTACTTCCTAGATACAATAGGGGTACAGGCATTCAGTTAATACAACTATTCCATGGGAGAAATTGGTCAAAATGAAGGGGCTACAGGCCCCATGCAAGTCCAAAATCCAGCAAGGCAGTCAAATTGTAAAGCTCCAAAATGATCTCCTTTGACTCATGTCTCACAGTCACGTTGTACTGATGCAAGAGGCCGGTTCCCATGGTCTTGGGGCACCTCTGCCCCTGTGGCTTTGCAGGGGCTGTCCCCTTCCTGGCTGCTTTTACAGGCTGGCATTGAGTGTCTGCAGCTTTTTCAGGTACACAGTGCAAGCTGTCAGTGGATCTACCATTCAGGGGTCTGGAGAATTTTGGCCCTCTTCTCACAACTCCACTAGGCAATACTCCAGTGGGGACTCTGTGGGAGCTGGAACCCCTCATTTCCCTTCTGCACTGCCCTAGCAGAGGTTCTCCATGAGGACTCTGCCCCTGCAGCACACCTCTGCCTGGATATCCAGGCATTTCCATACATCCTCTGAAATCTAGGCGGAAGTTCCCAAAACTCAATTCTTTTTATTTATTTATTTATTTATTTATTTATTTATTTATTATTATTATACTTTAAGTTTTAGGGTACATGTGCACAATGTGCAGGTTAGTTACATATGTATACATGTGCCATGCTGGTGCGCTGCACCAACTAACTCGTCATCTAGCATTAGGTATATCTCCCAATGCTATCCCTCCCCCTCCCCCCACCCCACAACAGTCCCCAGAGTGTGATGTTCCCCTTGCTGTGTCCATGTGTTCTCATTGTTCAACTCCCACCTATGAGTCAGAATATGCAGTGTTTGGTTTTTTGTTCTTGCGATAGTTTACTGAGAATGATGATTTCCAATTTCATCCATGATTTCTGTGTACCCACCGGCTCGTCCTGAGACTGCACAAAGCAGCAAGGCCCTGGGCCTGGCCCATAAAACCATTTATTCCTCCTAGGCCTCCCTGCTTGTGATGAGAGGGGCTGCCATGAAGATCTCTGACATGCCATGGAGACATTTTTCCCATTGTCTTGGCAATTAACATTTGACTCCTCATTACTTATGCAAATTTCTACAGCTCACTTGAATTTCTCCTCAGAAAATGAGTTTTTCTTTTCTATGGCATCATCAGGCTGCAAATTTTCTGAACTTTTATGCTCTGCTTCCCTTTTAAACATAAGTTCCAATTCCAAACCATATTGTTGTGCATACATAAAACTCAATACTTTTAATAGTACCCAAGTAACCTCTTGAACACTTTTCTCCTTAGAAATATTTCTTGCACCAGATGTCCTAATTCATCACTCTCAGGTTCAAAGTTCCACAGACCTCCAGGGCAGGGGCAAAATGCCACCAGTCTCTGCTAAAACATAGCAAGAGTCACCTTTGCTCTAGTTTCCAACAAGTTTCTCATGCCCATCTGAGACTACCTCAGCTTGGACTTTATTGTTCATATCACTATCAGCATTTTATTCAACAATTCTCTAGAATGTTCCAAACTTTCCCACATCTCCCTGTCTTCTTCTGAGCCTTCCAAACTGTTCCAAGCTCTGCCTGTTACCCAGTTCCAAAGTCACTTCCATGTTTTTGGGTATCTTTATCGCAGCTCCCCACTCTACCGGTACCAATTTACTGTATTAGTCTGTTCTCACGCTGCTAATAATGACATACCTGAGACTAGGTAATTTATAAAGGAAAGAGGTTTAATGGACTCAGTTCCACATGGCTGGGGATGTCTTACAATCATGGCAGAAGGCAAATGACAAAGTCCCATCTTACATGGCAGCAGGCAAGAGGACATGTGCAAGGGAGCTCCCCTTAATAAAACCATCAGATCTCGTGATACTTATTCACTATCATGAGAACAGCAAGGGAAAGACCTGCTCCCATGATTCAGTTACCTGCTACTGGGTCCCTCCCCCAACATGTGGAAATCACAGGAGCTACAATTCAAGATGAGATTTGGGTAGGGACCAAGCAAAACCATATCACTCATTTTCCACAATTATCTATTAAAAGTAAATAATGTAAATATATTTTGGAAGAAAAAAACATTGCTAATTTAATAACTCAAACTTGTAATGCTTTAAAATTGGGTTTCCCAATTTAAAGCACCAACATGTTTAGCTGTAGAAAAGGAGATAGAGTTCCTGACCATTATAGCTCTCGATAATTTGAGTGGTTATGAAGAGAGACTTAAGGCAACATATAGAAATACTAGCTTCTGGATGCTCTTTTTAAATAAGAATTTACTTATGTTATATTTATTTTATACTTTTCTATCATATATACTACCAGTCAAAATCCTAAACTTCTTGGGTCAAAACAGAAGTGAATCACATACTGCTTATTTCTTTATTCCATTTTTTGTACATGACCGTAGCTAGCAAGATGTTGAACTTGTTCAATTCTTTTGATTTTTACTTTCATGTACTGATTGCATGAAATGTTCATCCTTAGATCTTTAAATATAGGAAGCAACTCTTTTTAAAAATAATATGCACAGGAGTAATATACATAAGTAAATACTACATGCCTGTGATATCATTATCAACAAACATTTATTAAATGTGCCATGGATATATCCTAATCATTTGTACTTTTTTTTTTTTTTGAGATGGAATCTCACTCTGTTGCCCAGGCTGGAGTGCAGTGGCACCATCTCCGCTCACTGCAACGTCTGCCTCCTGGGTTCAGGTGATTCTCCTGCCTCAACCTCCTGAGTAGCTGGGATTATAGGCGTGTGACACCACACCGGGCTAATTTTTGTATTTTTAGTAGAGATGGGGTTTCACCATATTGGTCAGGCTGGTCTTGAACTCCTGACCTCGTGATCCACCTGCCTCGGCCTCCCAAAGTGCTAGGATTGCAGGCGTGAGCCACCGTGCTCAGCCTCATTTGTACTTTTTAAAAAGCCCATACCTAGCTGGTATGTTCAGTCTTTTGAAAACAAAAGGCTTTTGGGAACCTGTTGATGAGTTTCTTATTTCAGTTCTCCAGTTTCTTGGGCAGTTACTGGTTCAGTTTGTGGGAGGTTTCTGTTTGTCACTCAGCTGCAGCCACACCATTAGTGGGACAGCTTCAGTTTAAAACAACTCCATGGTTTGCCATAAATATTGAAAGTATTCCTATTATTGGTCAAGAGATGGGGAAGGACTCCACTAATGCTTAACTTGTAGGCCCATTAGCTTGCCAAATTATGTGTCCACACAGTACATGATTTCATGGGTCAAGGTGACTTGGACAGGGTTTCTTCAAATATTCTCCCTGCAGTTTTAAGTTTCGTTTTCTCAACTCTGATCTCTTATCTCTGTGTACTAGAACATCAGGGAGACATTTACCTGACTGTCAATTATTTAGAACAAAAATATTGATTTCTCATCATTTCCATAACTTTGGGCACTATTCTAGTAGAAGGTTATTAGTTGTGTGGTAAATGCATTTTCTAAAAAAATAGATCAAAATAAAACAAAAATAACTCAAAGATAGCAAAATAAACAATAGAACATTGAAAAGGCACAATTCCTGGGTGATAATATAACATAAATGATTGTCAATTTTTTCTCATGTAGATTTTACACACTGTAGTAAAATAGTATTTCCCAAAATTCATGTCCATCCAGAACTTTAAATTATGACCTTGTTTGGAAATAGGATCTTTATAGTTATAGTTATTTAAGGATACCAAGGTCCTGCAAAGAGTAAAACAGTATTTCCCAAAATCCATGTCCATCTAGAATCTCAGAATGTGACTTTCTTTGGAAATAATTTTTTGTTTGTTTGTTTTGTTTTGTTTTGAGACAGAGTCTCACTCTATTGCCAGGCTGGAGTGCAGTGGCATGATCTCAGCTCACTGCAACCTCTGCCTCCCGGGTTCAAGCAATTCTCCTGCCTCAGCCTCCTGAGTAGCTGGGACTACAGTTGCATGCCACAACACCCAGCTAATTTTTGTATTTTTAGTAGACATGGGGTTTCACCATGTTGGCCAGGATGGTCTCGATCTCTTGACCTCGTGATCTGCCCACCTCAACCTCCCAAAGTGGTGGGATTCAGGCGTGAGCCACTGTGCCCGGCCAAGATTTTTATAAATATAATTATTTAAGGATCTCAAGATCCTGGACTTAAGGTGGTTCTTAAATCCGAATAACTGGTGTCTTCATAAAAGACCAAAAAGAGAAGAATACTTGGACACAGAAAAGTGCAGAAAGGAAAGCTGTGTGAAGATGGAGGTGAAGCAGAGGTGAAGTTAATGCTGCCGCATGCTCAGGAATGCTAAAAGCTACCAGAAGCTGGAAAGGGTAATGAACATAGTGATCAGCTGTGTCAAATGTTGCTGATGGGTCAAGCACAATGAGGCCTGAATATTGACCATTGATTTCAGCAATGTGGCAGTGTTAGAAAAGTGGTAGAAGCAAATAACAAACCACTGTCTTGAGGAGTTTTACTACTAAGCAAAACAATAAAATGGTGCCGACACGGAAAATGTAACCAATAAAAGTTTTTTCATAAATTAGAGACATAATACCATTTTTATAAATTTATAAATTCGTAAGTATAAATGCCCTAAAAAGTAAATATGTGGGAGGAAGAAGGCCTATTTGTCAGAGCACAATTCTTGAGGAGTTCGATGAATCATGATTTAACACCCAAATAGAGAGTTTGCAATAGATAGTTCATTTGTGATATGAACATAGGAATTCAGATTATATGGGAATACATACTAGGAGGCTATAGATATCAAAATGGTAATATTCCTCTGATTATTTGAAATTTCTTAGTGAAAAAGATATCAGAGTAATCAGCTGAAAGTAGAAATAGAGGTTTGAGAGAGAGGCTAAGGTGTGAAAATTGATAAAATCAATGGTCTAGTAGGCCAGCCACAGTGGCTCACACCTGTAATCCTAACAGTTTGGGAGGACAAGGCAGGTGGGTCACTTGAGGCCAGGAGTTTGAGATCAGCCTGGCCAACATGGCAAAACCCCACCTTTAATAAAAATACAAAAATTATCCACATGTGGTGGCATGCACCTGTAGTTGCAGCTACTCAGGATGCTGAGGCACAAGAATCGCTTGAACTTGGGAGGCAGAGATTGCAGTGACCCATTATTGTGCCACTGTACTCCAGACTGTGTGACAGAGAGAGATGTGATGCTGTCTCAAAACTAACACAAAAACAAAAACAAAAGAATGATCTCAAAATGTATCGCGTGATGTCCTAGCAATGTGGAGAGTCCACTTGACATTCATGGTTATGATTTTAAACTGAATCTAGTAAATTTGGTTTTGAGTTTTTGTTTATTTTTTTTTCTCCAGCCACATTCAGTTGCCAGAGAGCAGGCACCAAATCACTGGAGAGTGCAATTTATCCAGGATAGAATTTTGGCTCTAGAAGTGTGACCAAGTGAGAGAGAACAAGAGAACTGAGAGTAAATGGCAAGGAGTGACTGAAATCACTAATCATTAATCGCCATGTGCAACAAGGTGAGAGTGGGGCAAGCACACTCAAGGGGTGAAGGACAGAGAAACGTTAGTTAGTTCAGTGCATCAGAGATCCCAGAAAGATTGCTGAGGTCAGGATGGTAAAACAAGTAAGCTGTAAACAGAAAGATGGTGGGCAGAAAACGGTATGCAGGGAGTTAAAATTATAAAGAGTGACAGTTATTTGTTGTAGAAAAGTCCAGGATGGAGACATCCAGTAGAAATATAGTTCGAGACACATATATAATTTTGGATTTTCCTGTAAAAATGTAGAAAGAAATAAGCAAAATTTAGTTTTTTTTTTTTTTTTTTTTGAGACGGAGTCTTACTCTATAGCCCAGGCTGGGGTACAGTGGTGTGATCTCGGCTCACTGCCCAGGCTGGGGTGCAGTGGTACAATCTCGGCTCACTGCAACCTCCACCTCCCTTGTTCAAGCGTTTCTCTTGCCTCAGCCTCCCAAGTAGCTGGGACTACAGATGTGCACCACCATGCCCGGCTAATTTTTGTATTTTTAATGAAGTTGGAGTGTCACTATGTTGGCCAGGTTGATCTCACAATCGTGACGTCAGGTGATCCGCCTGCCTCTGCCTCCCAAAGTGCTAGGATTACAGGTGTGAGCCACCACGCCTGGCCTTAAAATTTAATTTTAAGAATAGATTTCATTTGACCAAACAATCAATATAAGAATTGTTCAGGAGCTATTTTCCATCTGTTTTAGTGCTTACTGTTTGAAATCTGGTGTATATTTTACACTCACATCTCGATTTGAACCTGCCACATTTCATGTGCTCAATAGCCACCTGTGGCTGGTGGCTATGGCAAAAATTCTGAGACCAGTTCTTTCCTTGAGAACTTTTAACTTGATATAACCTCTCTCCTAAAGAAAGCATTAGGTACTTTAAAGAATTCCTAAGTGAATGAGGTTGTTTTCTGTCTGCATTTGTAAATATCTAGTCAGATAACGATTGCAAAGGACAACTGAAGTAACCAAATAGTTAATAACAATTCTGGGTGTTTACAATACACAAAGCAAACACCAACCTTTACCAGGATAAACATGTTTCTCAGGCAGGACACCAAGGCAGGTGGCTAAAAAAAAAATGAAATCTATTGGTATACACATATTGCAGTGTTGCTGAGAAATTATTATCGATGCATGAAATGGATTTAACAATCAATGAGAGAACAATGGGTCTTTACCTTCTATAAAATAAAATCTGTCCCTGGTTGGTGGCAGCAGCTGAAGGTTTGCAGGGCATGTGGTTCTTTTGAACTAGCCTTTTTAGCCTAAGATAAGGGAAAGCTTTTGCTTAAAATAAGCTACAAGGCCCCCAGGTCAGAACAATAATTTGAATTAAAAAACAAACAAACAAAAACAAGTTAAAAGCTGCCATTAATTTTGAGTTTATTTTTATAGACTTTCTTCTTTGAACATTTTGTGGTTCTCCTACTTATCATTATTATAGTTCATCAAGTTGATAATATTTTGTCAAGTAGTTTGAATTAACTTTAAGATAATATACTCTTTTAGGAGACAAAGCAACTTCATCAGTGGCAAGCAGCTTAACAGAGTAGAGAGAATGCACAGTATTTGAAATCAGATGAGATTTGAATTCTGGCTCTATCATTTACTGACTGTGTAACCAAGTATGCGTATTTTCTAAAAGATAGATTAATCATTTTTTTTCTATCTTTATTTTCTTTTCTTGTTTCCCTGGTTCCCCACTTCCTACTCAGCCCTTTAGAAATGCAAATATAGCCTTTTACCCCATTCACCAGACACTTTGTACAGGGCAAGTTCATATAAGTACGTGCTGCAAGAGAGAGCTCTCCTCTAGAGTTAACAGTTGATTTACAAATGAAAGCATGACTGTGGCCGGGCATAGTGGCTCACGCCTGTAATCTCAGCACTTTGGGAGGTGGAGGCAGGCGGATCATGAGGTCAGGAGTTCGAGACCAGGCTGACCAACATGGTGAAACCCCATCTCTACTAAAAATACAAAAATTAGCCGGGCATGGTGATGCATGCCTATAATCCCAGTTACTCAGGAGGCTGAGGCAGGAGATTCACTTGAACCCGGGAGGCAGAGCTTGCGGTGAGCTGAGATGGAGCCACGACACTCTAGCCTGGGCTGCAGAGCAAGACTCCATCTCAAAACAAACAAACAAACAAACAAAAAATAGCATGACTGTCACAGAACTCTCACTTACCAGGAGATTGCCTCAAGAGGTAACAGTCAAAAAGCGTGCCTGCTGCTATCTCCTAGCTGGGGAGTTTCTGGCCTATTCCCGCCCATGAAGAGGCCAGCAGTCACCAGCTCGACTGCACAGTAGGCAAGGCACCAGAGCTAGCACATGGACCCCTCTCTTGCTCGCTTTCTCCTCTTCCTTTCAAAGTGTCTACTTTCTGCTCCAAAAGCAAAGTAGTATCCTCAGGTGGGAAACCTGTTTTTCTTCCCCAAACTAACTTTGGAATAAATCACTTTCTTTATACCAGAAATCGGTCTTGATAATGGGACTCTGCAAGTGGCAAGTGCCTAACCTGTATTTCAGTTACACCTGTGTAACCGTGAGAAATCCCTCAACTCCTCCAACGTACTTTTTCCTTCTGTATAATCAGGACAATAGGGTCTCATAAAGCTGTTGTAAGAATTAAGTGAGATAAGATGTAAGCTTGATACATGTTAGCAATTATTATTTTAGATTAGCCTGTGTTGTCTGGAATAACTCATATATTTTTCTTTTAAAAGGTTGATGCTAATTATAATTACAAGCCTAAATTCATAAATTTTAGGTATAAAGATGTCACATTATTTCAATCCTCAAGTCAGGTCTTGTCTTTAGACAAGTCAGTCTTTAATTTGGCATTTACCATTATTAAGAAAACCTTTTACACAATCAAGTCAATCATGTTGTTTCATTCAGTCAGTCACAAAACTGTAGTGTTTATTGTGAAAAGAAAGTAAATCCTTGGGACCCCAAATTCACTAGGCCAAAGGGAAAAGTTAAGCTTGGAAATTGAGTCACACAAGAAATTGCCTTTCCTTTTGTTTCTAAGCTGATAGCTACAGATAGAAAGCCAGATGTCTGTACGAGTAACTGCTCTATGTTTACTTTATTTTATGTAAAGTGCAGATTTACTGAACACAAGAGAATACATAATTAACTGTTTCCCTCTACCCTCTACTTATCACATGCCACATGTGGATTCAGTAATGTTATACATGCCCTCTTTCCCCCATTGCACACTTTTCCCTGTTAAACATTGAAGCCCTCAAAATCCTCTTAGGAAAAGGCATGGCTTACAGATAGTCCTGTAGTTTTGTGTTCCTTTTTCCTGGGCATGTTGAATGACATTGGCAAAATACACCTTTACATTGATTGAGACCTATCTCAGATACTTTTCAGCTTACACTATCATGACAAGACAAGCTATTGTGCTCTCTGGGAGATACAAAACATGCACTCTAAATGCAGAGACAAAGCAAACACTTGTCAGATAGTTTAATAAATTCTCTGAAATCACAGAAGTTTGATTTCACGGTGCACTGATGGTGCTATGAGAAGACATCATGAGAAGGAAAGGAATTTAACCACATCTTGAAGACTTAAGGAAATCCAAGGGAGGATATCCATGTTATTTTATACCACATGAAGGCATCTTATGAAGCTGGGCTTTTTACTTGTTGCAGCAAAGAAGACCACACACAATGAACTCAAATTCCCTTTTCTGCTAACTTGAAAGACTCCTACTTCTGTTACCAGAAAGGGGTCCTGATCCAGACCCCAAGAGAGGGTTCTTGGACCTTGTACAAGAAAGAATTTGGGGTGGCTCTGTAAAGTGAAAACAAGTTTATTAAGAAAGTAAAGAAATAAAGAATGGCTACTTCATAGGCAGAGCAGTGGCATGGGCTGCTCAGCTGAGTATTCTTATAGTTATTTCTTGATTATATGCTAAACAAGGAGTGGATTATTCATGCATTTTCTGGGAAAAGGGTGAACCTCTCCTTTTTAGACCATTTAGGTTAACTTCCTGATGTTGCCATGGCATTTGTAAACTGTCACGGTGCTGGTGGGAGTGTCTTTTAGCATGCTAATGCATTATAGTTAGCGTACAAGGAGGAGTGAGGATGACCGGAAGTCACTTTCAACGCCATCTTGGATTTGGAGGTTTCAGGCTGGCTCCTTTACTGCAACCAGTTTTATCAGTGAGGTCTTTATAACCTGTATCTTGTGCCTCCTATCTCATCTTGTGACTAAGAATGCCTAACCTATTGAGAATGCAGCCCAGCAGATCTCAGCCTTATTTTACTTAGTCCCTATTCAAGATGAGGTCACTCTGGTTCAAATACCTCTGACATCTCCAGTGAAAATTCTAGTCGCACTTTTTCCATCTGCCTCCTGGATGAAAATTACAATACCCAATCACCAGTCACTATCTGTTGCATATCATCGTGCTTCTTCTTGTATTTTATTTTATTTTATTTTATTTTACCAAGTTTGCACAGTAAAGGTCATTTCCAGATAAGTCATCAAGATTCTAATGTGAGTTAGGCAGTGTTTCAGATATCTAGCAGAGGACTTCTCAAATTATGTTCTATATAATACCAGTTCATTGATAAATTTCTTTGATTTTTTAAACGTCACCTAAATTTGAGAGTCACCGTGCACTTTGGCAACTTTAAAGGTTTTAAGAAGCTTTGAAGGATCTATATTGGCTTGTGTACAGCCAGCCTTTGATTACAGAAACTTTCCTTTATTACCCCTAATAAATCAATGGCAGAAATTCTGTTTCAGACCACTTACTAAAGTGCTGAGTTAAAACTGCAGCATATTAATAAAACTTCTTAGGGAATTTAGGCACATCATAATTCTCAATCTGTTGATGAGAATAGATATTAAGGCACAATCTATTGATTGAGAATTATGATGTGCCTAAATATCAATTGAGATTAGTGTCCAACTCACTGACATTCTAGGTAGTCTTATATTAGAATGAAGGGATTTTCTCTTTCCCAGGGCTGCTTGTGATATTCCTGAAAACTAGTTTATTTTTATTTTAGTGGGACTGTAGATTATCTACTTATGTAATTTCCTTCTTTGTGTTGGCTGCCAGAAAACTTGGGGCCAAATTTGGACCCATGTCTAACAACTCTCGTGATTCTTACAGATCATGTTGTAATCATCTCATTCATGGCTTAATAATATTTTACTACATGCATTTTTCTTTTGCCCCATTCTCCCTATCTTCCTGTTTTTAGCTGCATTTTTTCATGTCCATTGAATGTATATTTTAAATTTTTTAAAGTTTTTTTTTCTTTTGGAGCTAATAATAATATTTTAACAAACTGTCTTGTAAGCATTTTGTTTAATGAAAGAAGTTTTGAAACGTAAGGGAACGATCATTGCACTGTTGAAGTCATGAGACTTTTAAATGGCTTTGTTCCAATTTCACCTCTAATTAGCTGATGCACTCAGGCAATATTTTGAAATTCTCTGGACTTCCGTTTCCCATCTGTGAAGTGAGTCAGAAATAGACAGCCTTGGTTAAAGATTACAGACCAAGTCATTTTGGCAGGCGATTTAATGCAACTTCTGCCAGCTGTAGAAAAAGAGTAGAAAGAGATGGGGCTAGCTTCAGTCAGACATGAGGAAGAAACAGGGCTGGGCTAAGATATGTGGGCAATTAGAGTTAGCTAACAATTTGGTTGCCATTCAAATACATATTATCTTACAGATTTGTTTGTTTGGTAGAAGAAGAAAAATTTTTATTTAATTAGAATTCTTTTTAAAAACAGACATTCCTAGTATCTGAAGTGAAATGAATAGATAGAAAAAATTCAAAAATGGCATCTATATTATTATTTCTGGTTTAAACATTTTTTTCTGAAACCAGCATAAAAAAGGGTTGAAAAATTACATGTTGAAAATAACTTGTTCCCATTAAATGGAAATATTTTTGCGTGCTTTTGTTTAAGAATTTTAGCCAACTGTGTTGCACATGCTTATGAGAAGAATGTTCTACTGCAGTAGGTCAGAGCTAATGAGGAGTTTTCCTCCATCCTCCCAGCCTTGAGAGTGCTTCTATGTTGGCAAAAGAAAGCTCCATTACATTTCACCGGTGATACAAGAAGATATGCATTTGTTTATATGCATGTCATCACCTGGTACTTTTCTAACTTCTGTTCTAAGCAAATGAGAAAAGAACACAGGTGAGTTTCATAGGTATATGACTGTTCACATCAAGCAAATGCTGGATGTTATCACTATGTGCTATTGGAACAGATGTTTTAGGATTGTATGAATAGACAAAGAGCTCAAGAAATTGAGGCATCACACGGCTCCGTCATTGTAGACCAGCAAGACTCGGAAAACCTGTGTTAAAACACTTGTAAATAGTCACACTGTGGCAGATACCTCAGTTTCAACAGAACATTAAATTAGATTTGTAAATTTAAACATGTTTAACATATTATTTTATTTTGTATGTTTTTATAAATTTGTCTTGGAATTAAAATTCTGTAAAAGGTACATGCATCTTTATATCTGATCTTACGTTCACCCAGATCTGTGCCTGGCTGATTCCTCACCATTTGGTTTCCATTGGTGTCTCCCTCTCAGAGGAGTTTGCCTTCACCTTCCTTCTCTGCTATTCCCTGTTCCATGACCCTGCTTTATTTTTTTTCATAGCCCTAATTGTGATATAAAATCATTTTATATTGGGGGAGCCAGCCCCCAATATTTCAACGTAGGTTATTTTCTATTTTCCTTAAGTGTCGGTCGGTCTGAGAAATAAAGAGAAGGAGTACAAAAGAAAGAAATTTTACAGCTGGGCCTCGAGGGTGACATCACCTATTGGTAGGTTCCATGATGCCCCTGAGCTGCAAAACCAGCAAGTTTTTATTAGGGATTTCAAAAGGGGAAGGGGGTACGAACAGGGCATAAGTCTCAAAGATCACATGCTTCAAAGGGCAATAAAA